>NT_187686.1:0-215732 GCF_000001405.40 Homo sapiens
TGTGGTGAGGACCCTTAAGATCTACTCTCCCAGCCGGGCGTGGTGGCTCATGCCTGTAATCCCAGTACTTTGGGAGGCCGAGGCAGGCGGATCACGAGGTCAGGAGATCGAGACCATCCTGGCTAACACAGTGAAACCCCGTCTCTACTAAAAATACAAAAAATTAGCAGGGCGTGGTGGCGGGCGCCTGTAGTCCCAGCTACTCGGGAGGCTGAGGCAGGAGAATGGCGTGAACCCAGGAGGCGGAGCTTGCGGTGAGCCGAGATCGCGCCACTGCACTCCAGCCTGGGTGACAGAGCAAGACTCCAGCTCAAAAAAAAAAAAAAAAAAAAAAATCTACTCTCCCATGCTTGCCTCGGCAGCACATATACTAAAATTGGAACGATACAGAGAAAACTAGCATGGCCCCTGCGCAAGAATGACACGCAAATTCGTGAAGTGTTCCATATTTAAAAAAAAAAATCTACTTTCCTGGTAAATTTCAAGTATAGAGTACAGTATTGTCAACCATAGTGGCAAAGCTGTACAAGAGATCTTCAGACCCATTCCTCCTGAATACCTGATAGTTTGTATCCTTTGATCAACATCTCCCAATTCCCTCCCCCACACTGTCCCTGTAGTTCTAGTGAGTTCCCCAGACTCTGATGTCTCAATTTCATTCAGTCACTTTCCTCCAGATACATCTACCCATTCCTACTGCATCTTAGTATCCTGAGCCTTGGGGGCAGTTTCTGTGCCAAGTGGAAATGTGGAAATGAGATATTACGAAGAAAAATCTTTGCCCACCTAGACAGGGATCTGATGTTTTCCAAGATGACACATGATTACATGTTGAAATGATAATATTTTGAGTCTACTTGTATAATAAAATAATATTTTGGATCTATTAGGTTAATATTTTGGGTCTGTTGGGTTAATAATATTTTGGGTCCATTGGGTTAACTTAAATTAATTTTATCTGTTTCTTGTTAGCTTTTTAATTTGGATACTAGCAAGTTTGAAAGAATGCATGTGGTTTGCATTATGTTTCTATAGGACAGAACTTACCTGTAGATGTAAGGGAGTCACAACAAAATTACAAGCATTGTTTTTGGTGGAAATGAGAAAAATGATTACAAATTTACATGGAAAAGCAAATAGCCAATAATAATAATAATGGCAATCTTAAAGAGGAAGGAGAAATTAGAGGATTCAGGCTGCCAAATTTTAAGGGGTTCTATAAGGCCACATAAAGTGCAGCATCCTCATGAGAGTGGACACAGAGAGCCACTGAGCAGAAAAGAGTGTGTAAAATACATCTGTGTACACACAGTCCTTTTATAGTTGACAGAGGCTGCCATGCGGATTAAGGTGGAATAGAATGTCTTCTCAGTAAATAACATTGGACCAGAGGGTTACAAGCAGGAAAAAATAAATCTAAGCTTATTTTCACACCATAAAAACACTGCTAATTTTTTATCTTATTATCATACATTTTGATGATTTATTTATAAAATTGATGAATGAAAATTATATACAGTAGTCCTTCACTATTCATGGGTGATTGGTTCCAGGAAACCCCCCTCCCTACCAGACACCAAAATCTGCAGATGCTCAAGCCTGTTGCATGAAATGGCACAGCATTTGCATATAACCCATGCACATCCTCCTGTATACATGAAATCATCTCTAGATTACTTATAATTCCTGATACAGCCTACACACCACCTCACTTGTGTCCACACAATATAGTATTTTTGCTTTTTGGAACTTTGTGGATTTTTTCTCTGAATATTTTTGATTTATATTTGGTTCAATAAACACCTGTAAACCCCACAGATATGGAGGAGCGACTGTATATTTATAGTATGAAAGATGATGTGTTGACATGTGTCCCTGTGGAGATGAGACTAACAAGGCCTATGACTCTACAAATGTTTCATCTTGGAATGACTCTGCCAGCTTTCCAGGTCTGCAGAGAGTAAGAATATCACTTGTTCATGTGATTCACGATCCTTGGAACCTCCTATGTGCTGCATCTTTGGATGGAAATTGGAGTCCCAGAGACAAATGAGGCTCCACCCTGCTTCCAGAAGCTCAGAGTCCAGGGCTGAGAACCCAGTAGAGAACATATCAGGTTATATGGACATAGTAATGATAACACTGGAAACTTTTGGCGAATAAAGAGTCACATTATCGAAACCATGAGGGCAGACATGTTTATTTGAAGAGGAGAGAGCTACACTGAAGTTATAAAAAAAATTTATAAATTTTACTGATGACAGAAGGCTGAAAGATAGTCTGAGGGGAGGTGGAACAGCATGAGGGAAGGTGGAACAGCAAGTGTGTAAGTGCCGTGTTAAGAGGGAGCCTCTTGCATGTTTGGAATTGTGAGTTCCTCAGTGTGATTGCAGCCTCAAGTAGGACTAGGAAGTAAGCCAGTTAGGTTGGAGAGGTGGGCAGGGGTCAAGTGAAATAGATACTTGTGGGCTAAGCAAAGGAGTGTGTTTTCTCTGCAGCAGGCAGTGGCGACCTTAGGCATTTGTAAGCAAGAGAGAGGCATGTTCAGATTCGTGGTGTGAGGAAGAGCGATCCCCTAAGATGCAGACTGATGCCTTCAGATTCCAGCTGCTGGTTCATTGGATCTGGCAACCTGGTTTTGAGACAGGGCTGTTGTCTCCCTAGAAAACCCCCTCAAGACCTGACTGTGGTGCTCGTGGGCAGGAGACAACTTTGGATCTGGGCTCAGCATTTGGAAGTTCCGTGTACACGCTGGTATCTGTTAGGGGTGTCTTGGGCCTCTGAGAAGGGCGACTGATTTTTCTCTGTATGAAAACGCAGTGATCCAACTGTGCGTACATCACCTCCTGAGGGTCTTGTTCATCAGAGTCCTGGAGAGAGGGAAATGCTGAGTGAGGGAGGGTGCTCACATTTTTCAGGACTATTAGGGATAAGACTGTATCCGTGAGGCTGGGCCGAGGAGGACCTACCTGCCTATTCACTGTTCTGTCCCCCGCAGGCTCTTGGTCCATTACAGCAGCATCTGTAGGAGACGGAAGTCATCAAAACCGCTTGGAGGGCCCTTCTGGGTCCTCATTTCATGGGCAGACACCAACCCACAGGGGGAGGCTGTAGGTGCCTGAGGCTCTTCAGCTGCCAACATCCAGACTCAGACATTCTATCTCTCTGAGTTCAAGACCCCATCCCATGAAGTGCTCTCAATTGGCATCCCATTGATTCTGTCTCCCACTTTCTGCCTGTCATGGAAGCTTCTGGATGTCAGTGGCTGCAGGGGATGTGAGGATACAGTTCAGAACCAGGCAATGGTCTGTGAGCTGAAGGCAGGGGCAGGTTGTCTGGTGCTCTCTCTAGAAAGCCCTGCCTCTGTGGCTCCTCCCTTGGGCCAGGGACCATCCTGCCAGTGAGGAACACACACCCGCGTGCTCCCATCCTGCTTCCCCACATGGCCCTGAGCTCTCTGGCCTCTGCTTCGTGAGACTTACTCTTTTTGTTGGAGCACCAGCGATAAAGGAGAAAGAAGAGGAGGAGGATGAAGAGGAAGATGACCACTGAGGTCCCAATCAGAACATGCAGGTGTCTGCAGATACCTGGAGGAAGATGGGAATCCAATAAGAAGCTAATCATAGCAGTTCCTCTTTATGGATTGTCTCATTTCTTGATTGACAGGTAACCACATGGAACATCTCCTTAGGACAAGCAGCCTGATGGCGGGAGACCCAGCTTTCTCCTGCTTTCTCAGTTACAGCTCTCATAGAAACCATAGAACATGCTGAGGATACAGCTGCTTTAGTTTAGATGTTTGACCCTTTGAAACCTCACACTGAAATATTGAAATTTAACCCCCAGTGTGGAAGTTTGGGCCTATGGGAAGGTGTTTGAGTCATGGAGGTGGATCCATCATGAATAGATTAATGCTGCCCCACATGATGGGGTTAGCAAGTTCCCCCTCTATTAGTTCCCGGAGGGCTGGTTGTTAAAAAGAGCTTGGAAGCTCCATCGCTCGCCCTCCCCCTTGCTCCCTCTCTTGCCATGTGATCTCTGTGGTCTCTGCACAGACAGACCCTCCTTCCCTTCTGCCAGAGTGGGAGCAGCCTGAGGCCGTCACAGGAAACAGATGCTGGTGCCATGCTTCCAGTACAGCCTGCAGAACTGTGAGGCAAACAAATCTGTTTTCTCTAGAAGTTGCCCAGGCTCTGGGATGCAAGGCTGGTTCAATATATGCAAATCAATAAATGTAATCCATCATATAAACAGAACCAAAGACAAAAACCGGACGATTATCTCAATAGATGCAGAAAAGGCCTTTGACAAAATTCAACAACACTTCATGCTAAAAACTCTCAATAAATTAGGCATTGATGGGACGTATCTCAAAATAATAAGAGCCATCTATAACAAACCCACAGCCAGTATCATACTGAATGGGCAAAAACTGGAAGCATTCCCTTTGAAAACTGGCACAAGACAGGGATGCCCTCTTTCACCACTCCTATTCAACATAGTGTTGGAAGTTCTGGCCAGGGCAATTAGGCAGGAGAAGGAAATAAAGGGTATTGAATTAGGAAAAGAGGAAGTCAAATTGTCCCTGTTTGCAGATGACATGATTGTATATCTAGAAAACCCCATTGTCTCAGCCCAAAATCTCCTTAAGCTGATAAGCAGCTTCTACAAAGTCTCAGGATACAGAATCAATGTACAAAAATCACAAGCATTCTTATACACCAATAACAGACAAACAGAGAGCCAAATCATGAGTGAACTCCCATTCACAATTGCTTCAAAGAGAATAAAATACCTAGGAATCCAACTTACAAGGGATATGAAGGACCTCTTCAAGGAGAACTACAAACCACTGCTCAATGAAATAAAAGAGGATACAAACAAATGGAAGAACATTCCATGCTCATGGGTAGGAAGAATCAAGATCGTGAAAATGGCCATACTGCCCAAGGTAATTTATAGATTCAATGCCATCCCCATCAAGCTACCAATGACTTTCTTCACAGAATTGGAAAAAACTACCTTAAAGTTCATATGGAATCAAAAAAGAGCCTGCATTGCCAAGTCAATCCTAAGCCAAAAGAACAAAGCTGGAGGCATCATGCTGCCTGACTTCAAACTATACTACAAGGCTACAGTAACCAAAACAGCATGGTACTGGTACCAAAACAGAGATATAGATCAATGGAACAGAATAGAGCCCTCAGAAATAATGCCACATATCTACAACTATGTGATCTTTGACACACCTGAGAAAAACAAGCAATGGGGAAAGGATTCCCTATTTAATAAATGGTGCTGGGAAAACTGGCTAGCCATAGGTAGAAAGCTGAAACTGGATCCCTTCCTTACACCTTATACAAAAATTAATTTGAGATGGATTAAAGACTTAAACGTTAGACCTAAAACCATAAAAACCCTAGAAGAAAACCTAGGCATTACCATTCAGGACATAGGCATGGACAAGGACTTCATGTCTAAAACACCAAAAGCAACGGCAACAAAAGCCAAAATTGACAAACGGGATCTAATTAAACTAAAGAGCTTCTGCACAGCAAAAGAAACTACCATCAGAGTGAACAGACAACCTACAAAATGGGAGAAAATTTTCGCAACCTACTCATCTGACAAAGGGCTAATATCCAGAATCTACAATGAACTCAAACAAATTTACAAGAAAAAAACAAACAATCCTATCAAAAAGTGGGCAAAGGACATGAACAGACACTTCTCAAAAGAAGACATTTATGCAGCCAAAAAACACATGAAAAAATGCTCACCATGACTGGCCATCAGAGAAATGCAAATCAAAACCACAATGAGATACCATCTCACACCAGTTAGAATGGCGATCATTAAAAAGTCGGGAAACAACAGGTGCTGGAGAGGATGTGGAGAAATAGGAACACTTTTACACTGTTGGTGGGACTGTAAACTAGTTCAACCATTGTGGAAGTCAGTGTGGCGATTCCTCAGGGATCTAGAGCTTGAAATACCATTTGACCCAGCCATCCCATTACTGGGTATAAACCCAAAGGACTATAAATCATGCTGCTATAAAGACACATGGACACGTATGTTTATTGTGGCACTATTCACAATAGCAAAGACTTGGAACCAACCCAAATGTCCAACAATGATAGACTGGATGAAGAAAATGTGGCACATATACACCATGGAATACTATGCAGCCATAAAAAATGATGAGTTCATGTCCTTTGCAGGGACATGGATGAAATTGGAAATCATCATTCTCAGTAGACTATCACAAGGACAAAAATCCAAACACTGCATGTTCTCACTTATAGGTGGGAATTGAACAATGAGAACACATGGACACAGGAAGGGGAACATCACACTCTGGGGACTGTTGTTGGGTGGGGGGAGGGGGGAGGGATAGCATTAGGAGATATACCTAATGCTAAATGACGAGTTGATGGGTGCAGCACACCAGCATGGCACATGTATACATATGTAACTAACCTGCACATTGTGCACATGTACCCTAAAACTTAAAGTATAATAATAATAAAAATTTAAAAAAAAAGCTCATCAGAAGCACTATACAAAAAAAAAAAAAAAAAAAGAAGTAACCCAGGCTCAAGTGTTCTTTTATAGCAACAAAAATGGACTAAGACAGCAACGTCCTGAGATCAGGAGGAACGTCTCAGAACAGCCTGTGCTGTCTTCCTGTTCTTCCTGGAGGAGGACGTCATGCAGTGCTTTAGCTGAGTGCTTCCTGTGGCTTCAGGGTACAAAACCCAGGCTGGGCTATTTTCTGGCTTCCCCCAGATACACTGCAAATGAGGTGACTCCATATGTCCCGAGAAGCTTTTCTGAGCCTTGAGGGACTGGCTCACATTGAAATGTAGGCTTCTGTTGTCACTCGCTGCTTATCTGTTAGTAATGAACCTGCCTATGTAACGTATTCTCTGTGTGTTCTGTCTCCCTGGAGTGACGGTGAGTGATAGAAATTTGCATAGGCCCAGGTGCAGTACAGCAGGTGTTTAGAGTCTTCTCTGGAAAGACTGAACTGGGATTGATACACAGTGAATGTGCTTTACAGTTTCTACATCCACAACCCTCTTGACTCAAATTACATTCTCCAAGAAAAGGACACAAAAGTGAAATCAAGATCAAAAAAGCAAAGTAGAATTCTCTTATGTCAAACAGCCAGGAAATAATGATGAAGCCCATGTGAAACGTGCTACTCTTTGTGATCTCGCGAGACACATGTTAGGCTGCTGTTCCACCTGAGAGGCTGGGGGAAAGACCACCCCCTCCACCATCTATTGCTTCAAAACCACCTGTCCTCCTGTGAATTAGTAGGAAAGGGGAGCAGGAGCTAGTGCTGGTGCTGATCTCTGATTCCAAGATCTGAACTCACTCCAAGGAGTATTAGCGTTTACCTCCCCATGATCTATCTGTATCTCCACAGGTGATTGGAAGTAGGGGTGAGGTGGGGGATTTGGGTGAGGGGGCAAGTTTCTTGTGATGAACAGAGCACTTTCCCTATTTCAGGGCCTGTGCTGGTGGGTTCAGGGGGCTTTCATATTTTCCATATGATCTCATGTTCACAGAAAGCCAAATATGGAAGAGGTTTTAGGCTGATTTTCTAATGGATAAGATAAAGGATCAAAGAAGTAATTATAGAGAAATAGAAAAATGATGATTGGAATTCAGGTGCCTGCATCATTTGTGTATATTATTATATTTATGTATTTTTTATTTTTATTTTTTGAGCCAGAGTATCCCTGTGTAGCCCAGGCTGGTGTGCAGTGACGCGATCTCCACTCACTGCAACCTCTGCCTCCAGGGCTGAAGTCATTCTCCTGCTTCCTCCTCCAGAGTAGCTGGGATTACAGTCATGCACCACCATCATGCCTGTTTAATTTTTGTATTTTTAGTAGAGATAGGGTTTCTCCATGTTGGCCAGGCTGGTCTCGAACTCCTGACTTCATGTGATCCACCCGCGTTGGCCTCCTGAAGTGCTGGGTTACAGGCGTGAGCCACCGTTCACAGCCTTGTATATTATGCTATACTAGGTCCCTTCATTTGCACCACCCCTCATCTAGCTCTCCCTCCTCTGCCAGGTATTGATTTAGATGCAGGAGAAATAAATCTCAGAAATAAGTTAGTGAAGCGAGGATTAAACTACCAGGAAAAAATCAAACCCAGCAAGCCTTTCCAGCCAATGATTCTACCTCACAAACATATCTTATATCCATCTACTTCATTCATTTAGTGTCTAAATCAGCACCACATTTCACCAGTGGGGCGGGAATTGCCTTTTCCACGGTCTCCTAGATTCCAGTTACGCACCTGGGCCTCCCTTATTTTCATGTCAGTCATATTAATCATGTAGGGATTCCTGGTTACCCCGAGGTGAGTCCAATGGCTGTGAGTGTCAAACACACACTCCTTGTTGCTCCTTAGTTTCCTGTGTACCCAGTGTGCTCTCCGTCTCTCTACAGTCGTCTTGTCATTCTCCCCACGTCATTCCCAGCATTTGAGGCAGAGCCTCTTCCTTCAACATCAGATTATTTTCACCTTTGTGCCTTCACGGCTGACAGCTGTGTGTGCAAAATCCTTCCGCCCATCTTTCAGGGGTTCAATCCGTGTTTTTCATTAATGTCACAAATATCTGATTAGTGAGAACTTCTCTGTCACCTGAAATCATACACTCAGCATTATCTATTATTGATTTGAAAATTTGGCTTGGCCCCGTGGCTCATGCCTCTTATCCCAGCGTGTTGGGAGGCAGAGGCTATTGGATCACCTGAGGTTGGGAATTTGAGACCAGCCTGGCCAACATGGTGAAACATCCTCTCTACAGAAAATATGCAAAAAGAGTTAGCCGGGCGTGGTGGTTGTGGTCTGTAATCCCAGCTACTGGAGAGGCTGAGGGAGGAGATCCGTTCAGCCCAGGAGGTGGAGGTTGCAGTGAGCCGAGATCATGCCACCGCACTCTAGCCTGGACGACAGAGCAAGGCTCCGTCTCAATAAACAAGTAGGTAAATACATAAATAAATAGATTTCATGCACAGATGCTTCTCAATAGATCATTCATTTATTGGTCCCCTTGTGCCTACATTTTCTGCCCTCCCATTTAACCATCTGCAAGATCAGTGTCCCAAGAACAGAGGCCAAATGCATCTTGTTCACTGTTTGTGGAAGGCAGGAGAATGTTGTCCCACCCCAAAAATGTCCATGTCCTAGCCTCCATAGCTTGTGAATATGTTATTTTACATGAAAGGAGGAATGAAGATTGCAGATGGAATTATGGTTGCTAGTCAGCTGAACTTAAAAGGAGGGTATCCTGGATGATTTCCGGGAGATTATGATGGATTTTCATCTTGGTGAACCCAATAGAATCCCCAAGTTTTCAAAAGAAGGGGAAGAAGGGAGAGCAGCATTCAGAGAAAGAGGTGTGGTAAGGAAGAAGGGTCTGAGTGATGCCATGTGAGATGTGACCAGTCTTTGTGGGCTTTGAGGAAGGAGGAAGGGTACCAGGAGCCAAGGAACATGGGAGCCTCTAGAAGCTGAGAAAAGTGAGAAGCAGATTCTTGCCTGGAACCCTCAGAGGGAAGGCAGCCTTGCTGTCACCTTGATTTTAGCCCAGTGACATGCACGTCATGCTTTGAGCTACAGCACTGTAAGATAATTAAATAACCGTTTTGTTTTCACCCACGAATCTTGTGGAAATTTGTTATGGCAACAATAGGAAAAGCTTCCACACTGCACAGCCTGAGCATGGGGCTGTGGCTGAATGAGTCAGTGAGTCGAAGTGTGCGTGCATGAGCTCTGTTCTCTGTTACGGCAAGGCTCTTGCTCTGCTGAGTCAGCCAGGGTTGCCTGATGACCAACAGTAATTCATTCCTTGGCAAGTGGAACTTCTCTAAAACACCCACCCTCATCAGATGTTCCCTTCCCTTCCCTCTCTCAAGCCCCCGGGAATTTATCCTCCAGTTAGGAATGCAGGCAGAAAAAACACTGCATGTTTCCTGAGAAGGATGTCAGATTGGCAATTATTCTTCTAGCTTGTAGGAGGTCTCACCTGCAGGAAATTAAAGGTAAAGAGACTTCGCTGAGCCCTTTGGTGGCCCTAGATCCCTTTCACTGTTGGAGTGTCTGGAGTTCAGAGATGGTGGAAGACAGGCCCTCATTCACAGAGCTGGGAGGTTTGAGCCAACACTTGCATCCAAGGCTTCCACCTCCCCAGGTTTCCAAAAGCAGAGATAAGAGGGGTCCTTTACTCACCAGATTTGGAGCTTGGTTCTGTGGGTGAAGGCCAACTACTTGAAGGGTTTCCTAGAACACGGGACAGGAGAGATGTGAGGAAATGAGGGTGCTTGTCCTCTACTCAATGGAAATCTTTGAGGTTGGTTCATGGCCAACACTCTGTTATCTAATGTTGGACCCTGGGAGTCTTGGGATCCTTTTCTCCATAATTTTTGTGTGCGATGCCCACTGTCTTGAGACTTGAAGGTATAAAGAGAAAACAGGAGCATCACACTACCTGACTTAGAAATATGTTACAGAGCTGTAGTAAGCAAAACAGCATGACATTGGCATAAAGAAAGGCACATAAAAAATGGAACAGAATGGAGAACACAGATATAATCCATGCATTTACATCCAATGGCTTTCTTTTGTGTGTGTGTGATGGAATCTTGCTCTGTCATGCAGGCTGGAGTGTAGAGGTGCAATCTCAGCTCAATGCAACCTCCACTTCCTGGATTCAAGAAATTCTCTTGCTTCAAACTCCTGAGTAGTGGTATTACAGGCACTGATCACCATGCTCAGCTAATTTTTGTATTTTTAGTAGAGACGAGGTTTCACTCTGTTGGCCAGCCTGGTCTTGAACTCCTGGCTTTAGGTGATCCACCCGCCTCGGCCTCCCAAAGTGCTGGAATTGCAGGTGTGAGCCACCATGCCCAGCCCATTTAATGGACTTTGACAAAGGTGCCGAGAACTTACAATCAAGAAAGGACAGTCTTCAATAAATGGTGTGGGGAAAACTGGATATCTACATGCAGAGGAATAAAACTGCATCTATACCTGTCACCTTACACAAAAATCAAATGAAAATGGATTAAAAACATGAGTCTAAGGCCTGAACCTATGAAACATGTAGAAGAAAATAATGGGGAAGACATTTGTCTGACGAAAGACATTTTGTTTAAAACCTTCAAAACACAAGTAATCAAAGCAAAAAATAGACCATTAGGATTACATCAAACCAAGCAACTTCTGCACCACCAAAGATAAACCAACAAAGTGAAGAGACAACCCACAAAATAGGAGCAAATATTTGCAAACTATTCATCTGAGATGGGATTAATAACTGGAAATATAAGAAGCTCAAACAACTCAATAAAACAATTTAATTAAAAAACGAGCAAAAGACATGAGGAGACATTTCTCCACAAACAAAACATAGAAATGGCGATCACGTATATGAAAAAGTGCTCAGCATCACTCATCATCACAGAAATGTAAATTACAATCGCGATGAGTTTTCATCTCATCCCATTAAAATGCCTTTTAGGCCGGTGGCTCACGCCTGTAATTCCAGCACTTTGGGAGGCGGAGGTGGGCGGATCACCTGAGGTCGGGAGACCAGCCTGACCAACATGGAGAAACTCCCTCTCTACTAAACATACAAAAATTAGCTAGGCGTGGTGGCACATGCCTGTAATCCCAGCTACTTTGGAGGCTGAGGCAGGAGAATCAGTTGAACGCGGGAGGCAGAGGTTGCAGTGAGCCGAGATCACACCCTTGCACTCCAGCCTGGGCGACTATGAGTGAAACTCCATCTCAACATAAATAAATAAATAAATAAATAAAGTAAAATGGCTTTTATCTGCAAGACAGGCAAAACAAATGCTGGCAAGATGGTAGAGAAAGGAGAACCCTGGTACCCTGTTGGTAGGAATGTAAATTAGTACAACTATTATGGAGAAAAGTATGGAAAAACTTTAAAAAACTAAAAGGAGGCTGGGCATAGTGGCTTATGCCTGTAACTTCAGCACTTTGGGAAACCGAGGCAGGCACCTCACTTGAGGTCAGGAGTTTGAGAGCAGCCTGCCCAAAATTGGGATATCCCGTCTGTGCTAAAAAATACAAGAATTAGTCAGGCATGGTGGCGTGCACCTGTAATCACAGCTATTAGGGAGGCTGAGTCAGGAGAATCGTTTGAACCTAGGAAGCAGAGGTTGCAATGAGCCAAGATCGCACCACTTTGACTCCAGCTTGGACTAAGGAGGGAAACTCTTTCTCAAAAAAGAAAAAAAAAAAAGAGAACTTTCATAGTGTCCAGCAATTTCACTACTGGGTTTATATCCAAAGGAAAGGACATCAGTGTATCGAAGTGATATCTGCACTCATATGACTGTTCCAGCACTGTTCACAGTAGCCAAGATGTGGAGTCAACCTACCTGCCTATCAGTGGGTGAATGGATAGAGAACTGTAGTACACACACACGGTGGAGACTACTCATCCATAGAAACAATAACATCCTGTCATTTGCAGCCACATGGATGGAACTGGAGGTCATTACAAAGATTCCCATTTCTCACCACATGCAGGAGATAAAAGGTGGATCTCATGAAGGTAGAGAATAGAATGGTGGATACCAGAGGCCAGGAAGGGAAGGGTGGAGGGTAACAAAAAAAAGAATATAGATGTATTTATTTATTTAGAAACAGAGTCTCTCTCTGTCTCCCAGGCTGCAGTGCAGTGGCATGATCTCGGCTCAGTGCAACCTCTGCCTCCTGGCTTTAAGTGCTTCTCCTGCCTCAGCCTCCCAAGTAGCTAGGACTACAGGTGCATGCCGGCATGCTTGGCTAATTTTTCTTGTCTGTTTAGTAAAGATGAATTTCCCGCATGTTGGCCAGGCTGATCTCGAGTCCCTGATCTTAAATGATCCACCTTTCTTGGCCTCTCAAAGCGCCAAGATTACAACCGTGAACCACCACACCCAGCATATAAAGGTATTTATGACCACTAGATTTTACTTTTAAAAATGGTAAAGTTGGTAAATTATATAGTTACATTTAACCTCAATAAATATTTTTGAAAATGAAAAGAAAAGAGTGTAGGGGTTGCTGGTGATGACATCTCTCTGTGTGGGTGAGAGGCCAGGATGGGCTTCTGGGAAATGGGTAAGGTTGAGGGGCTGAGGGAACCTCTGATCTCCCCAAACTGAGCCCAGTCTCCCCTTCTCTGGGTCTGTCCTGACCGCTTTCTCCATCTGCCTGGGTGCCTGGAGCCCTGACCATGGGCCTCCATGCAGGCCATGCAAGAGGGTTTGGAGGTGCCCTGTCTGCCATCCTGCACCCTGACCCCCCCCTCACACCCAGTCTTCGTGTTCTCTCTGCATCTGTCCATGCTTCTCCCCATCATCGGCAGGAAGCTCCTCAGCTATGGCTCTAGGATCATAAGACATGGGACAGACACGGGTTTTCCTCACCTGTGACAGAAACAAGCAGTGGGTCACTTGAGTTTGACCACACGCAGGGCAGGGCACGGAAAGAGCCGAAGCATCTGTAGGTCCCTCCGTGGGTGGCAGGGCCCAGAGGAAAGTCTGCCTGGAATGTTCTGTTGACCTTGGGCACTGCACGGAGCCTACGTTCATGGGCCTCCCCTTCCCTGGACAGATGGTAGATGTCATAGGAGCTCCAGGAGCTACAGGACAAGGTCACGTTCTCTCCTGCCTGAACCGTGGGGCCCGGCTGGGCTGAGAGAGAAGGTTTCTCATATAGACCTGGAAGGAGAAGAGGCAGTTTCCTCAGGGAGGTTCTTCCTTGTCACAGCTCCCCTCATACCTGAGCTGAGAACTCACTCCCCTGCTCTATGACCTAATGCTCTCTCTCTCTCTCACCCTCCACCCCAACTCTCTTCATGTCTATTTCCTCCTTCCGCCTTCTCTGTCTCTCTAGGTCTCTGACCTCACTTCCCCACCCCTGGGTATGCTTTCCCTTTTTGGATTGTTTTATTCTCTCTGACTCTCCTTGGATTGGTTGACTTGATCTTCCTTTTTCTATAATTCTGAGTCTCTCACTTTCTGTCTTGTTCATAACTTTCTGCATATTTCTATCTATTATCTATCTATCTATTTTGTGTCTATCTACAAATTATCTGTCATCTATATCTATGTATCATTTATCTATCAATTGTCTATCTGTCTATCCATCAATCATCTATGTATTATCTGTATCTATGTATCATCTCTCTCTCTCTCTATTACCTCTCTGTCTGCCTGTCAGTCTCTATGTATCATCTATGTATCTATATATTTATATATGTGTCTTCTATCTATCTATCTTCATCATCATCATCATCATCATCTCTATGTATCATCTATCAATCATCATCTATGTATCTATAACCTATCCATTATCTATCATCTACCTATTTATCATCTATCTATATCTATCTATCCATCTATCATCTGTCTCTCTCCATCTCCTTGTCTTTCTCTGCCTCTCAGTCTCTCTAGTTCTATTTGGAATCTCTGCAATCCATCCCCACATCTTTATCTTTCTCTGTCTTTGTGCCCCTCCCTCAGGGTTCTGATTTTGGGGCTTTTCTCTCCTCCCTTCCAGCATTCTCTCCACTCCTCTGCCCTCTTTTCTTTCTTTTTGTGTGTCTGTGAGTCTCTCAATCCCCTTCCTCTGGCTCATTCTCTGTGTGTTTATGCCTTTGCTTTTTGAAGTCCCTGATTTATCTCTGTGTCTCTCAGTGATCCTATTATATGTAGGATTATTTGGAATATGAGCCTCAGAATCTAGTCTGGGGACACCAAGTACACACAGTATTTAGGGGTTGGTGTTCTGGGGCCATGATATCCTGGGATAATTATGGCTCCACTGCATGGAAGGCAGAGGTGTCAGAATAAACATGGCATCTGTAGATGCCACAAGGCCTGAGGCCACAGGGCCCAACTCAGGTCAGAAATATGGGTGTCCTTGGGTTCTCCTCGTAGAAGCACTTTGTGGAGACAAAACAGAAATGAAACTTCTAACCTGTGCCAGGTCTCTGAGCAAAGTCAGCATGGAAGGACACTTCTCTCTGGCACATGTCTGTCTGTCTGAGTGTCTCCTTTACCTCTTTCTCTCTTTTCTACTTCCCCGTATGGCCCCTGTGTCTGTCCTCTGTTATGACACCTGGTCTGTACTTATGTCTCCTGTTTCCCTGTCTCTGTTGGTACAGACCTCACCGAGTCAGTCTCTCTCCATAAGAATCCCACGCTTATCTTCCTCATGACCACCTGGGGGTTCCAAGTCCTGGATCATTCACTCTGTGTCCCAATGACAATGAGAAGAATGTCTGGACACTCTCACCTGTGATCACGATGTCCAGGGGGTCACTGGGAGCTGACAACTGATAGGGGGAGTGAGGAACAGAACCATAACATCTGTAGGTTCCTGCAAGGACAGGCATCAAGGGACCGATGGAGAAGTTGGCCTTGGAGACCCCATCATGGATCTGTCCAACGAGGCGTGAGGGGTCCTCAGAGATCCCCTCTCTGTGCAGAAAGAAGTGCTCAAACATGACATCTGACCAACATTGCAGGATGACTGTCTCTCCTGATTTCAGCAGGGGCCCTGGGTGGGCCAGGAGGGAAGGTTTTCTGTGGTTTCCTAGAAAGAGAAGTTGTGAGTTTAGAAGGCATCTCTCTTTATCATCCCATCCATGGCACCTGGAATGAGTGAGGGTTCCCCTCCCAGAGGTCTGTCTCTCTCCTCCCTCTCTGTGTCTCCGTGTCTTTTCTGTGCCCATATCCCCTGGTGCAGGTCCCTCCATTTGTCTTCCTCCCTCTTCTCTGTCCCTCTGTCTCCAGTAGCCCCTGACTCCCTTCCCACTGTGAAGAGAGCCTCATCTCTTGGGCTGTTGTATCTCTTTCCCACTAGTCTCTTTCCTGCTGTCTATGTGGGGGTGGAAGAGGACAGGCTGCATGTCCAGGCTCTCAGCAGCCTGAATCAATCTCTTTTGAACAAATTGGAGTCTCTGGCAGAGGTATCAACTCATCAGTAAGGCAGACATCAGTGTCCACACACCCTGTTCCTGATGGGGATTGGGAGCCTCTCCTGCCATGTCTGTGCCTTCTCCATGGCCCCAGCTTCCATAGGGTGGTCCCTGGTGCTGGTTCCAGGAGCATCAACCCCTTCCTATGTGGATGGAGCCTGGTGGTGGCATCAGCATCCCACCCTTGCTGATCCCACGGTAGCCAACCTTCTCCTTGTTTGGTTTCTTTAATTAATTGATTAATTAATTTATTTTTGAGACAGTCACTTTTTCACCCAGGCTGGAGTGCAGTGGTGTTGTCTTGGCTCACTGCAACCTCTGCCTCCCCGGTTCAAGTGATTCTCTTGCCTCAGCCTCCCCAGTCGTTGGATTACTCGTGCCCACCACCACACCTGGCTATCCTTGTTTGGTTTCCTAGCTTGTCCTTGACCTGGGTTCCTGTGTCGGTTTCCTGTTGCTGCTGCAGAAAATTATCACAAACATGGCAGCAGGAGAGAACACACTGACCCCTTCCACTTCTGGGGACAGAAATTGGATCCAGTTCTCCCTGTGCTGAAATCAAGGCATCTGCAGGGCTGCGTTCCCTCTGGAGACTCAGCGAATCAGTTCTCTTGACTTCTCCAGCCCTTAGAGGCCACCTGCATTCTGTGACTAGTGGCCTTCCTCCACCTTCAAAGCCCACAGTGGCTGATAGCGTCTCCCTCCCACTACACTGCTCTAATCCCCACTCCCCTCTTCCTCCACCTCTCACGCGGACCCTTGTGATTACACTGAGCCCAGCAGGACAGTCCAGGCTGTCTCCCCATCTCAAGGTCAACTCATCAACAACCTGAGCTCCACCTTCCCCTTCAGTCCCCTGCCCTATAACATAAATAGTCACAGGCTCCAGGGTTTACAATGTAGCCATCATTGGCGACAGTGATTCTTCCCACCACAGCGCCCATTTCCCCTGTATTCAATCCCCCTTGACCCCAAATACAGTTGGGGCCTGGGTGATGGGACCCTGATGGACACCCCCACCAGAAGCTCTGGGATTCAGGAGGTGGGACAGTGAGAAGCCCAGACAGAAAGCCTCTGACCTGTGACCATGATCACCAGGGGGTTGCTGGGTGCCGACCACCCAGTGAGGGAGTGTGGGCGTGAACCCCGACATCTGTAGGTCCCTGCATGTGCTGGGGTCACAGGGCCCATGATGAAGCTCTCCTGGAATATTCTGCCGTGGAAGATGGGAACGTGGCTTCTGTCTTCTTTGTACAGCATGAAATTGTTAAACCCACGACGATAGTGACACTGAAGAGCCACGTGTCCTCCTCGAGGCACCACAGTGCTGGGCCGGGCAGACAGGAAGGGTTTGTCCTGACCACCTGGGGGAGAAGGAGGCACTGCCTTAGAGAGGAGGATGTGGAGCCGCCCCTCCCTCCCTGTGCTCAGAAGATTCTCCCATTTCCACTTTCTAAGGCTCCTACCACACCTGGGTGCCCAGGGCTACAGGAAGGACCCACCCCACATAGACATGGCGTCTCCCTACAACAAGTGTCAGCTGAGAACTTTGAGCAAGTGCTGAATAAGTGACTCTTACTAGATTTTAATACTGCAAAATTACTCACATAAAACAACACAAAGTAGACACGGCATGGAGGGCATGTCCTATGTGAATGGAATATCAGCCAATTCATGAACTGAGCCCCCTCAGAGGATTTGGAATGTCAGGGCCATGGCTGTGGTTTCCCCCCTCTTCTGGTAGAAAGACCGCAGCCACACTGCAGTCCCTACCGTCACGGAAACGCTGGAGGGTGTCAGTTATACCTTTGTCCTCAGAGGACCTGCTGTTCCTAGCACTGCATCCCTCTCTTTCTCTGCTGCTGACACCACTTCCTCCCTGCACACCCCAGCTTGGAGCACCCCAGTCTCACCCCAGTCTTCACAGAGCTTGACTCAGGAAAGGGAAAGAAAGGCCGGGGAGGGCGAGGTCAGAAATGTGGGCCGAGTATCCAAGGGTCCCCTCTTCCTAGTTTATGAGAGACTCCCCGACAGGACTTCCCTCCTGTTTCAGAAAAATCCTCTTATGTGGGGAGATGACACCCTAAGGTTTGGGGAAGGACTCACCCATGAGTGGCCAGGCCCCCTGCAGCAAGAAGAACCCTGGAAAGAAAGATCATGATAGACGATCCAACTGCAGGCAAACCAGGGCACCCTGCTGCCCCCACTGCACTGTGTGTCTTGGCAGCCAGGCCCTTGCTGGGCTGAAGGTAAACTTAGCCTCCCTGCTACCTGCTGCCAAGAACAGGGCTCTCAGCTGTGGAGAGACCCAGGCTCCAGGCCCAGATCAACACTTCCTGGCCCAGATCTCCACTCCAGGCCCATATCTCCACTCCAGGCCCCTATCTCCACTCCAGGCCCATATCTCCACATCAGACCCATATCTCCACTCCAGGCCCATATCTCCACATCAGACCCATATCTCCACTCCAGGCCCAGATCTCCCCTCTAGGCCCATATCTCCACTCCAGGCCCATATCTCCACTCCAGGCCCATATCTCCACATCAGACCCATATCTCCACTCCAGGCCCATATCTCCACTCCAGGCCCAGATCTCCACCTGCAGGCCCATATCTCCACCCCAGGCCCATATCTCCACTCCAGGCCCGTATCTCCACTCCAGGCCCATATCTCCACACCCAGGCCCATATCTCCCCTCCAGGCCCATATCTCCACTCCAGGCCCATATTTACACCTCCAGGCCCATATCTCCACACCCAGGCCCATATCTCCACTCCAGGCCCATATCTCCACTCCAGGCCCATATCTTTACCTCTAGGCCGAGATCTCCATCCCCACTCTCCCTCCCTCTATTCCCTTCCAGGACTCACCAACGCACGCCATGCTGACGACAGTGAGCGACATGGTGCTGCCGGTGCAGACAGGAGGCCGCGCCCCAGCTCAGCTCAGCAGCGCACAGGATGTTATTTGGCGCCCTGCCCATGCAGTTTACATGTTGACCACATCATGGGAGGGTGACGTACGCAGGCTCTTTCTACCTTGCATGAGGCCCAGTGGGTGCTCGCTCAAGAGCGGAACATGGCTTCCTGGAAATTGTTGTGACTACAATTGCCACCTTGCATCCTTCACTATGACCAGACTCAAAAGACGTCTCAGATCCAACCTCTCACACATGAGGTGATTGAATTCTGTGCTTACATTAAAGACTTTTGATGTATTTTTGTTTTTATCTGAGATTCAAACTTTTCTTCATGTGTAATGTGCAAAATATCTAAGAGGTATTATTAACATTATCAGAGTAATTGTGACAAAAAGCCATTCTAATTTTCCTGATGAGTTTCTAGTACTAAACCTGAGGCACGAGAATTGCTTGAACCTGGGAGGCGGAGGCTGCAGTGAGCTGAGCTCAAGCCACTGAACTCCAGCTTGGGTGACCGAGGAAGAGTCTGTCTCAAGAAAGAAAAAAAAAAGCAAACTAAATAACCTATAATAACAAATCAGAGAACTCAGGTTACCAAATTTTAAGGGGTTCTATAAGTTTATATGAAATGCAGCATCCTCATGAGAGGGGATACAGAGAACCACTGGGCAGAAAACTGTGTCTAAAATACATCTGTGGATACACAGTCCCTTTATAGTTGACAAAGGCTGCCATGTAGTTTAAGGTGGAATAGAATATTTTCTCAATAAATAACACAGGACCATAGGGTTACACGTAGGAAAAAATAAATCTAAACTTATCCTCACACTATAAAAACACTTCTTATTTTTTATCTTGTTGTTGTAAACTTTTTATGCTTTATTTTTAAGATTGACAAATAAAAATTATATACTGTGGTCCTTCACTATTCCTGGGTGATTGGTTCCAGGATCCCCATTCAGATACCAAAATCTGCAGATGCTCAAGCCCCTTGCATGAAATGGCATAGCGAAGCTGGGCACCGTGGCTCACGCCTGTAATCCCAGCACTTTGGGAGGCTGAGTTGGGTAGATCACGAGGTCAGGAGTTCAAGACCAGCTGGTCCAACATTCTGAAACCCCATCTCTACTAAAAATACACACACAAAAAAATTTATCTGTGCATGGTGGCACGTGCCTGTAATCCTAGGGGAGGCTACTGGGGAGGCTGAGGGAAGACAATCGCTTGAACCTGGGAGGCGGAGGTTGCAGTGAGCTGAGATCATGCCACTGCACTCCAGCCTGGGTGAGAGAGTGAGACTGTCTCAAAAAAAAAAAATAGCATAGTAATTGCATAGAACCCATGCACATCCTCCTGTATACATGAAATCATCTCTTGATTACTTATAATTCCTGACACAGCCTACACGCCACTCAATTTGTGTCGATTCAACATAGTTTTTTGCTTCTTGAAACTTCGGGGATTTTTTTCTGAAAATATTTTTGATTTATTGTTGGTTCAATAAACACCTGTAAACCCCACAGATATGGAGGACCGACTGTATATTTATATTATGAAAGATGATATGTTGATATGTGTCCCCGTGGAGATGAGGCTAACAAGGCCTATGACTCTACAAATGTTTCATCGTGGAATGACTCTGCCAGCTTTCCAGGTCTGCAGAGAGTAAGAATATCACTTGTTCATGTGATTCACGATCCTTGGAGCCTCCTATGTGCTGTATCTTTGGATGGAAATTGGAGTCTCAGAGACAAATCAGGCTCCATTCTGCTTCCAGAAGCTCAGAGTCCAGGGCTGAGAACCCAATGGAGAACAGATGGGGTTATGTGGACACGGTAATGATAACACCGGAAGCCTTAGGCAAGAAAAGAGTCTCGTTACCGAAACCATGAGGGCAGACATGTTTATTTGAAGGCGGGAAAACTACATTGAAATTATTTAAAAAATTTATAAGTTTTACTGCTGGCAGAAGGCTGAAAGATAGTCTGAAGGGAGGTGGAACAGCACGTGTCTAAGTGCTGTGTTAAGAGGCAGCCTCTTGTATGTTTGGAATTGTGAGTTCCTCAGTGTGATTGCAGCCTCAGGTAGACTAGGAAGTAAGCCAGTTAGGTTGGAGAGGTGGGCAGGGGTCAAGTGAAATGGAGAATTGTGGGCTAAGCAAAGGAGTGTGTTTTCTCTCCAGCAGGCAGTGGGGACCTTAGACATTTGTAAGCAAGAGAGAGGCATGTTCAGATTCGTGGTGTGAGGAAGAGCGATGCCCTAAGATGAAGACTGATGCCTTCAGATTCCAGCTGCTGGTACATGGGAGCTGGCAACCCGGTTTTGAGACAGGGCTGTTGTCTCCCTAGAAGATCCCCTCAAGGCCTGACTGTGGTGCTCGTGGACAGAAGACAACTTTGGATCTGGGCTCAGCATTTGGAAGTTCTATGTACATGCTGGTATCTGTTGGGGGTGTCTTGGGCCTCTCAGAAGGGCGAGTGATTTTTCTCTGTGTGAAAACACAGTGATCCAATTATGCGTATGACACCTCCTGATGGTCTTGTTCATCAGAATCCTGGAGAGAGGGAAATGCTGAGTGAGGGAGGGTGCTCACATTTTTCAGGACTCTTTGGGAATAAGACTAGCCACGAGGCTGGGCCGAGGAGCACCTACCTCGCTGTTCACTGTTCTGTTCCCTGCAGGCTCTTGGTCCATTACAGCAGCATCTGTAGAAGACGGAAGTCAACAAAAGAGCTCGGAGGGCACTTCTGGGTCCTCATTTCATAAGCAGATACCAACAAACAGGGGGAGGCCATAGGTGCCTGAGGTCCCTCAGTTGCCAACAGCAGACTCAGACATTCTATCTCTCTGAGTTCAAGGACCCATCCCATGAATAGCTCTGAGGTCCCATCCCATTGATTCTATCTCCCACTTTCTGCCTGTCATGGAACCTTCTCCTGGATGTGAGTGGCTGCAGGGGACGTGAGGATACAGTTCAGAATCAGGCAATGGTCTGTGAGCTGAAGGCAGGGGAAGGGAATCTGGTGCTCTCTCTAGAAAGTCCTGCCTCTGTGGCTCCTGTCTTGGGCCAGGGACCATCCTGCTGGTGAGGAACACACATCCGCGTGCTCCCATCCTGCTTCCCCACATGGCCCTGAGCTCTCTGGCCTCTGCTTCGTGAGACTTACTTTTTTTGTCGGAGCACCAGCGATGAAGGAGAAAGAAGAGGAGGATGGTGAAAGGGATTTTGACCACTGAGGTCCCAATCAGAACATGTAGGTGTCTGGGGTTACCTGGAAGAAGAGGAGACACCAATAAGAAGCTAATCATAGCAGTTCCTCTTTATGAATTGTCTCGCATTTCTTGATTGGCAGGTAACCACATACAACGTCTCTTTAGGACAAGCACCCAAATGGCGGGAGACCTAGCTTTCCCCTGCTTTCTCAATTATAGCTCTCATAGTAACCATAGAACGTGCTGAGGATACAACTACTTTAGTTGAGATGTTTGACCCTTTCAAACCTCACATTGAAATTTCACCCCCATTGTGGGAGGTTGGGCCTCTTCAGAGGTGTTTGGGTCATGGAGGTGGATCCATCATGAACAGACCAATGCTGTCCCAAGGAGACGGGGTTAGCAAGTTCCCCCTCTGTTAGTTCCTGGAGAGCTGGTTGTTAAAAAGAGCTTGGAAGCTCCATCGCTCCCTCTCCCCCTTACTCTCTCTCTTGCCGTGTGATCTCTGCGGTCTCTGCACAGACAGACCCTCCTTCCCTTCTGCCAGAGTGGGAGCAGCCTGAGGCCATCACGAGAAATAGATTCTGGTGCCATGCTTCCAGTACAGCCTGCAGAACTGTGAGGCAAACCAATCTCTTTTCTTTAGAAGTTACCCAGGCTCAAGTGTTCCTTTAGAGCAACAAAAATGGACTAAGATAGCAACATCCTGAGATCAGGAGGAATGTCTCAGAACAGCCTGGGCTGTCTTCCTGTTCTTCCTGGAGGAGGACGTCATGCAGTGCTTTAGCTGAGTGCTTCCTGTGGCTCCAGGGTACAAAACCCAGGCTGGGCTGCTTTCTGGCTTCCCCCAGTTACACTGCAAATGGGGTGACTCCATATGTCCCGAGCAGCTTTTCTGAGCCTTGAGGGACTGGCTCACATTGAAATGCAGGCTTCTGTTGTCACTCACTGCTTATCTGTTAGTAATGAACCTGCCTATGTAACGTATTCTCTGTGTGTTCTGTCTCCCTGGAGTGACGGTGAGTGATAGGAATTGGCATAGGCCCAGGTGCAGTCCAGGATTTGTTTAGAGTCTTCTCTGGGAAGACTGCACTGGGATTGATACACAGCGAATGTGCTTTAGGATTTCTACATCCACAGCATTCTTGAGTCAAACAAATTGCATTCACCAAGGAAAGGAAACAAAGGTGAAATCACGATTAAAAATAGCGAAGCAAGATTCTCTTATGTCAAACAGCCAGAAAATAGTGTTGAAGCCCGTGTGAAATGTGCTGCTCTTTGTGATCTCGGGAGACACATGTTAGGCTGCTGTTCTACCCGAGAGGCTGGGGGAAGGACCACCCCCTCCACCATCTATTGCTTCAATACCACCTGTCCTCCTGTGAATTAGTAGGAAAGGGGAACAGGAGCTAGTGCTGTCGCTGATCTCTGATTCCAAGATCTGGACTCACTCCAAGGAGTATTAATGTTTCCTCCCCATGGTCTATCTGAATCTCCACAGGTGATTGGAAGTAGGGGTGAGGTGGGGGATTTGGGTGAGTGGGCAAGTTTTTTTTTGCGATGACCAGAGCACTTTCTCTATTCCAGGATCCGTGCTGGAGGATTCAGCGGGCTTTCACATTTTCTATGTGATCTCATGCTCACAGAAAGCCAAATAGGGAAGAGGTTTTAGGCTCATTGCCTAATGGATAAGATAAAGGATCAAAGAAGTAATTATAGAGAAATAGAAAAATGATGATTGGAATTCAGGTGCCTTTGTCATTCGTGTGTGTTTTATTATATTTATGCATTTCTTATTTTTATTTTTTGAGACGGAGTCTCCTTGTGTCACCCAGGCTGGAGTGCAGTGATGCAATCTCCACTCACTGCAACCTCCACCTCCTGGGTTGAAGTCATTCTCCTGCTTCATCCTCCAGAGTAGGAGCTGGGATTACAGGGATGCACCACCATGCTCGGCTAATTTTTGTATTTTTAGTAGAGACAGGGTTTCACCATGTTGGCCAGGCTGGTCTGGAACTCCTGACTTCATGGAATCCACCCGCCTTGGCCTCCTGCAGTGCTGGGTTACAGGCGTGAGCCACCGTTCACAGACTTGTATATTATGCTATAATAGGTCCCTTCATTTCCACCACCCCTCATATATCTGTCACTCCTTTGCCAGGTATTGATTTATGTGTAGGATGAATAAATCTCAGAAAGAAATTAATTAAGCGAGGATTAAACAAGTAGGAAAATCAAACCCAGCAAGCCTTTCCAGCCAATGATTCTACCTCACAAACATAGCTTATATCCATCTGCTTCATCCACTTAGTGTCAAAATCAGCACCACATTTCACCAGTGGGGTGGCAATTGCCTTTTCCACAGTCTCCTAGATTCCAGTTACGCACCTGGGCCTCCCTTATTTTCATGTCAGTCACTATTAATCATGTAGGGATTCCTGGTTACCTCGAGGTGAATCCAACGGCTGTGAGTGTCAAACACACACTCCTTGTTGCTCCTTAGTTTCCTGTGTACCCAGTGTGCTCTCCGTCTCTCTACAGTTGTCTTGTCATTCTCCCCATCTCATTCCCAGCATTTCAGGCAGAGCCTCTTCCTTCCACATCAGATTGTTTTCAGCTTTCTGCCTTCACGGCTGACAGCTGTGTGTGGAAAATCCTTCCGCCAATCTTTCAGGGGTTCAATCCGTGTTTTTCATTAATGTCACAAATATCTGATTAGTGAGACCTTCTCTGTCACCCAAAATTATACACTCAGCATTATCTATTATTGATTTTGAATTCTGGCTGGGCACAGTGGCTCACGTCTTTTATCCCAGTACTTTGGGATGCTGAGATGGTTGGATCACTTGAGGTTGGGAGTTTCAGACAAGCTTGGCCAACATGGTGAAACATCCTCTCTACAAAAAATATACAAAAAGAATTAGCCGGGCATGGTGGCAGTTGCCTGTAATCCCAGCTACTCGAGAGGGTGAGGCAGGAGAATCACTTGGATCCAGGAGACGCAGGTTGCAGTGAGCCAAGATCGTGACACTGCACTGTAGCCTGGAAGACAGAGGGAGACTCTGTCTCAATAAACAAACGAACAAACAAACAAATAGATTTCATGCACAGATGCTTCCCAATGGATCATTCATTTATTGGTCCACTTGTGCATTCATTTTCTGTCCTCCCATTTAACCATCTGCAATATCAGTGTCCCAAGAGCAGAGGCCAAATGCATCTTGTTCACCATTTGTGGAAGGCAGGAGAATGCTGTCCCACCCCAAAATGTCCCTGTCCTAGCCTCCATAGCTTGTGAATATGTTATTTTACATGGAAAGGAGGAATGAAGATTGCAGATGGAATTATGGTTGCTAATCAGCTGAACTTAAAACAAGGGTATCCTGAATGATTTCCGGGAGATTATGACGGATTTTCATCTTGGTGAACCCAATAGAATCCCCAAGTTTTCAAAAGATGAGGAAGAAGGGAGAGCAGCATTCAGAGAAAGAGGTGTGGTAAGGAAGAAGGGTCTGAGTGATGCCATGTGAGATGTGACCAGTCTTTGTGGGTTTTGAGGAAGGAGGAAGGGGACCAGCAGCCAAGGAACTGGGAGCCTTTATAAGATGGGACAAGTGAGAAGCAGATTCTTGCCTGGAATCCTCAGAGGGAAGGCAGGCTTGCTGTCATCTTGATTTTAGCCCAGTGAGATGCACTTCATGCTTTGAGCTAGAGCACTGTAAGATAATTAAATAACCGTTTTGTTTTCACCCACGAATCTTGTGGAAATTTGTTATGGCAACAATAGGAAAAGCTTCCACACTGCACAACCTGAGCATGGGGCCGTGGCTGAATAAGTCAGTGAGTCAAAGTGTGCGTGCATGAGCTCTGTTCTCTGTTACGGCAAGGCTCTTGCTCTGCTGAGTCAGCCAGGGTTGTTTCATGACCAACAGGAGCTCATTCCTTGGCAAGTGGAACTTCTCTAAAACACCTCGCCCTCATCAGATGTTCGCTTCCCTTCCCTCTCTCAAGCCCCCAGGAATTTATCCTCCAGTTAGGAATGCAAGCAGAACAAACATTGCATTTTTCCTGAGAAGGATGTCAGATTGGCAATCATTCTTCTAGCTTGTAGGAGGTCTCAGCTCCATAAAATGAGAGATGAAGAGATTTCACTGAGCCCTGTGTTGGGCCCAGATCCCTTTCGCTGTTGGAGTATCTGGAGTTCGGAGATGGTAGAAGACAGGCGTACAATGTCAGAGCTGTGAGATGCTGAGTCAACGCCTGAATCCAAGGTTTCCACCTCCCCAGGGTTCCAAAAGCGGATATAAGAGGGTCCTGTACTCACCGGTTTTGGAGCTTGGTTCAGTGGGTGAAGGCCAACTATTTGAAGGGTTTCCTAGAACATGAGACAGGAGAGAGGTGAGGAAATGAGGGTGTCTGTCCTCTACTCAGTGGAAATCTTTGAGTTTGGTTCATGGCCAACACTCTGTTATCTAACATTGGGCCCTGGGAGTCCAGGGATCCTTTCTTCCATAATTTTTGTATGTGACGCCCACTGTCTTGAGACTTCAAGGTATAAAGAGAAAACAGGAGCATCACACTACCTGATCTCAAAATATGTTACAGAGCTGTAGTAAGCAAAACAGCATGATGTTGGCATGAAGAAAGGCACATAGAACAACGGAGCAGAATGAAGAACACAGATATAATCCATGCATTTACATCCAATTTTTTTTATTTTTTCTTTTGAGATGGAGTCTCGCTCTGTCACCCAGGCTGGAGTGCAGAGGTGCAATCTCGGTTCACTGCAACCTCAGCCTCCTGGGTTCAATCAATTCTCTTGCCTCAAACTCCTGAGTAGTAGTATTACAGGTGCTGACCACCATGCTCAGCTAATTTTTATATTTTTAGTGGAGACGATGTTTCATCACGTCGGCCAGAGTAATCTTGTACTCCTGTCCTCAGGTGATCCACCAGCCTTGGCCTCCCAAAGTGCTGAAGTTGCTGGTGTTAGCCACCATGCCCAGCCCATCCAATGGACTTTGACAAAGGTGCCAAGAACTCACAATCAGGAAAGGACAGTTTTTTCAATAAACAGTGCAGGGAAACCTGGACATCTACATGCAGAGGAATGAAACTGCACCTCTACCTGTCACCATACACAAAAATCAAATGAAAGTGGATTAAAGATGTGAGTCTAAGGCCTGAACCTGTGAAACACGTAGAAGAAAATATTGGGGAAATGCTCCAGGACATTTGTCTGAAGGAAGACATTTTGTTTTAAACCTTCAAAACACAAGTAATCGAAGCAAAAATAGACCATTGGGATTACCTCAAACTAAGCAACTTCTGCACCGCTAAAAATAAACCAACAAAGTGAAGAGACAACCCACAGATTGGGAGCAAATATGTGCAAACTATGCATCTGAGACGGGATTAATAACTAGAAGTATAAGAAGCTCAAACAACTCAATAAAACAAATGATTTAATTGAAAAAGGAGCAAAAGACATGAAATTTCCCCACATACGAAAAAGTGCTCAGTATCACTCATCATCAGAGAAACGCGAATTAAAATCAAAGTGAGTTTTCATCTCACCCCATTAAAATGGCTTTTAGGCCGGGCGAGGTGGCTCACGTCTGTCATCCTAGAACTCTGAGAGCCCGAGGTGGGCGAATCTCATAAGGTCGGGAGTTTGAGACCAGTCTGACCCACATGGAGAAACGCTGTCTCTACTAAAAATACAAAAATTAGTCGGGCGTGGTGGCGTGTGCCTGTAATTCCAGCTACTCGGGAGGCTGAGGCAGGAGAATCGCTTGAACCTGGGAGGTGGAGGTTGCGGTGAGCCGAGATCGCACCACTGCACTCCAGCCTGGGTGAGAAGAGCGAAACTCCATCTCAAAATAAAATGAAATAAAATAAAATGGCTTTTAGCTGCAAGACAGGCAAAAGAAATGCTGGCAAGGTGGTAGAGAAAGGAGAACCCTGGTACCCTGTTGGTAGGAGTGTAAATTAGTACAGCCATTACGGAGAAAAGTATGGAAGTCCTTTAAAGAACTAAAAAGAGGTTGGATGAAGTGGATCATGCCTGTAATCCCGGCACTTTGGGAGACCGAGGCGGGCACCTCAGTTGAGGTCATGAGTTTGAGAGCAGCCTAGCCAACCTGGGGAAACCCCATGTACACTAAAAAAAACCAAAAAGTATCCCGGCATGGTGGCGTGCACCTGTAATCCCAGCTACTAGGGAGGCTGAGGCAGGAAAATCATTTGAACCCAGGAAGCGGAGGTTGCAATGAGCCAAGATCACATCACTTGTACTCCAGCCTGGGCACAGAGGGAAACTGTCTCAAAAACAAAAACAAAACAACAAACGAAAAACTAAAAAGAGAACTTTCATAGTATCCAGCAATTTCACTACTGGGTTTATATCCAAAGGAAAGTAAATCAATGTATCGAAGTGATATCTGCACTCGTATGATTGGTGCAGCACTCTTCACAGTAGCCAAGATGTGGAGTCAACCTACCTGCCCATCAGTGGATGAATGGATAGAGAGAATGTAGTACATACGCACAGCGGAGACTACTCATCCATAGAAAGAATAACATCCTGATATTTGCAGCCACATGGATGGAACTGGAAGTCATTACAAAGATTCCCATTTCTCACCCATATACAGGAGCTAAAAGGTGGATCTCATGAAGATAGAGAGTAGAATGGTGGCTACCAGAGGCCAGGAAGAAAAGGGTGGAGGATAAAACAAACAAACAAAAAATTTATATGTATGTATTTATGACCACTAGACCTTACACTTAAAATTGGTAAACGTGGCCGGGCGCGGTGGCTCATGCCTGTAATCCCAGCACTTTGGGAGCCTGAGGCGGGTGGATCACGTGGTCAGGAGTTCCAGAGCAGCTCGACCAACATGGTGAAACCCCCTCTCTACTAAAAATACAAAAAGTAGCCTGGCGTGGTGATGGGCGCCTGTAGTACCAGCTACTCAGGTGGCTGAGGCAGGAGAATCGCTTGAACCCAGGAGGCGGAGGTTACAGTGAGCTGAGATTGTGCCACTGCATTCCAGCATAGGAGACAGAGCTAGACTCCACCTCAAAAAAAAAAAATGTTAAAAGTGGTAAGCTATATAGGTATATTTAACCTCAATGAATATTTTTTCAAACAAAAAGAAAAGGATGTAGGGGTTGCTGGTGATGACATCTCTGTGTGGGTGAGAGGCCAGGAAGGGCTTCTGGGAAATGGGTAAGGTTGAGGGGCTGAGGGAACCTCTGATCTCCCCAAACTGAGCCCAGTCTCCCCTGCTCTGGGTCTCTCCTGACCGCTTTCTACATCTGCCTGGGTGCCTGGAGCCCTAATCGGAGGCCTCCATGCAGGCCATGCAGGAGGGTTTGGAGGTGCTGTGTGTGCCATCCTGCGCCCTGATCCCTCCCTCACAGGCATGCTGCGTCTTCTCTCTGCATCTGTCCATGCTTCTCTCCATCATCAGCAGGAAGCTCCTCAGCTAAGGCTCTAGGATCATAGGACATGGGACAGATATGGGGTTTCCTCACCTGTGACGGAAACAAGCAGTGGATCACTCGAGTTTGACCACTCGTAGGGAGCGTCACGGAAAGAGCCGAAGCATCTGTAGGTCCCTCCGTGGGTGGCAGGGCCCAGAGGAAAGTCGGCCTGGAATGTTCCGTTGATGCTGCGCACTGCAGGGAGCCTACGTTCATGGGCCTCCCCTTCCCTGGATAGATGGAGCTGCAGGACAAGGTCACATTCTCTCCTGCCTGAACCGTGGGGCCCGGCTGGGCTGAGAGAGAAGGTTTCTCATATAGACCTGGAAGGAGAAGGGGCAGTTTCCTCAGGGGGGATCTTCCTTGTCACAGCTCCCCTCACACCTGACCTGAGAACTCACTCCCCTGCTCTATGGCCTAATGCTCTCTTTCTCTGTCTCACCCTCCACCCCATCTCTCTTCATGTCTATTTCCTCCTTCCACCTTCTCTGTCTCTGTAGGTCTCTGACCTCACTTCCCTACCTCTAGTTATGTTTTCCGTTTTTGGATTGTTTTATTCTCTCTGGCTCTCCTTGGATTGGTTGACTTGATGTTACTTTTTTTAACTCTGAGTTTCTCAGTTTGTGTCCCGTTCATAACTTTCTGCATATTTCTATCTATTATCTATCAATCCATCTATTTATCTATTCGGTGCCTATCTACAAATTCTCTACCTGTCATCTATATCTATATATCATCTATTTATCTATCAATTGTCTATCCGTCAATCATCTATTATCTATATATATGTATCATCTCTCTCTCTCTATTATTTCTCTCTTTGTCTTCCTCTCTATCTCTATGTATTATCTATCCATCTACCTTCATCATCATCATCTCTATGTATCATCTATTAATGAATCAATCAATCATCATCTATGTATCTATAACCTATTATCTATCATCTACCTATATATCATCTATCTATATCTATCCATCATCTATCTGTATCTATCCATCTATCATCTGTCTTGCTCTGCCTCTCGGTCTCTCTAGTTCTCTTTGGAATCTCTGCAATTCATCCCCACATCTCCATCTTTCTATGCCCTTGTGCCTCGCCCTCAGGACTCTAATTTTAGTGGTTTTCTCTGCTCTCTTCCATCATTCTCTCCACTTCTCTGCCCTCTTCTCTCTCTTTATGTGTCTGTGAGTCTCTCAATCTCCTTCCTCTGGCTCTTTCTCTGTGTGTTTATGTCTTTGCTTTTTGGTGTCCCTGATTTCTCTCTGTGCTTCTCAGTGATCCTCTCATATGTGATATGTGGGGTTATTTGGAATGTGAGCCTCAGAATCCAGTCTGGAGACCACAAGTTCACACAGCATACAGGGGTTGGTGTTCTGGGGCCATGATATTTTGGGACGATTATTCTCCATTGCATGGAAGTCAGAGGTGTCAGAATAAGCATGGCATCTGTAGGTGCCACAAGGCCTGAGGCCACAGGGCCCAACTCAGGTCAGAAATATGGGTGTCCTTGGGTTCTCCTGGTAGAGAACACTTTGTGGAGGTAAAACAGAAATGAAACTTCTAACCTGTGCCAGGTCTCTGAGCAAAGTCAGCATGGAAGGACACCTCTGTCTGGGACATGTCTGTCTGTCTCCTTTAACTCTTTCTGTCTTTTCTAACTCCCTGTATGGCCCCTGTGTTTGTCCTCTGTTATGACACCTGGTCTGTACTTGTGTCTCTTGTTTCTCTGTCTCTGTTGGCACAGACCTCACCAAGTCAGTCTCTCTCCATAAGAATACCAAGCTCATCTTCCTTACAACCACCTGGGTCTCCAAGTCCTGGATCATTCACTCTGCATCCCAATGACAATGAGAAGAATGTCTGGACACTCTCACCTATGATCACCATGTCCAGAGGGTCACTGGGAGCTGACAACTGATAGGGGGAGTGAGTAACAGAACCGTAGCATCTGTAGGTTCCTGCAAGGACAGGCATCATGGGACCAATGGAGAAGTTGGCCTTGGAAACCCCATCATGGTGCTCTCCAATGAGGTGCAAAGTGTTGTTAAACTTCCCCTCTCTGTGCAGAAGGAAGTGCTCAAACATGACATCCGACCAACATTGCAGGATGACTGTCTCTTCTGATTTCACCAGGTGACCTGGGAGGGCCAGGAAGGAAGGTTTTCTGTGGACTTCTAGGAAGAGAGGTTGTGAGTTTAGAAGGTGTCTCTCTTTATCATCCCATCCATGGCACCTGGAATGAGTGAGCCTTCCCTTCGCTGGTGTCTGTCTCTCTGCTTCCTCTCTGTGTCTTCATGTTCTTTTCTGTGCCCATAACTCCTGGTGCAGGTCCTTCCATCTGTCTCCCTCCCTCTTCTCTGTCCCTCTGTCTCTAGTAGCTGTGATTCCCTTCCCACTGGGCTCAGCCTCATCTCTTGGGCTGTTGTATCTATTTCACACTAATGTCTTTCTTACTGTCTATGTGGGAGTGGAAGAGGAAGCAGGATAGGCTGCACGTCCCGGCTCTTAGCAGCCTGGTTCAATCTCTTTTGGACGAATTGGAATCCTTGGCAGGAGGTATGAACTGATCAGTAAGGCAGGCACCAGTGTCCACACACCCTGTTCCTGGTGGGGACTGGGAGCCACTCTTGCCATGTCTGTGCCTTCTCCATGGTGCCAGTTTCCATAGGCTGGCTCCTCGTGCTGATTTGAGGAGTATCAACCCCTCCCTATGTGGATGGAGCCTGGTGGTAGCATCATCATCCCACCCTTGCTGATCTCGGTGTAGCCAACCTTCTCTTTGTTTGGTTTCTTTAATTAATTAATTAATTTTGGAGACAGAGTCTCACTCCTTCGCCCAGGCTGGAGTGAAGTGGTGTGGTCTACGCTCACTGCAACCTCTGTCTCCTGGGTTCAAGCGATTCTCCTGCTCTCAGCCTCCCGAGTCGCTAGGATTACATGCACCTGCCACCATGCCTGGCTATCCTTGTGTCTTTTCTTAACTTGTCCTTGACCTGGGTTCCAGTGTTGGTTTCCTGTTGCTGCTGTAGAAAATTATCAGAAGCATGGCAGCAGGAGAGAGCACACTGACCCCCTCCGATTCTGGAGACAGAAAGCGGACGCTGTTTTTCGAGGGCTAAAATCAAGGCATCTGCAGGGCTGTGTTCCCTCTGGAGACTCAGGAGAATCAGTTACTTGACTTTCCCAGCCTCTATAGGCCACCTGCATTCATGGCTTATGGCCTTCATCCACCTTCAAAGCTGATGGAGTCTCCCACTACGCTGCTCTAATCCCCACTCTCCTCTTCCTCCTCCTTTCATGTGGACCCTTGTGATTATACTGAGCCCACCGGGACAGTCCAGGCTGTCTCCCCATCTCAAGGTCAACTCATCAACAACCTGAGCTCCATCTTCCCCTTCAGTCCCTTCCCCTATAACATAAATAGTCACAGACTCCAGGGATTAGAATGCAGTCATCATTGGGGACACTTATTCTTCCCACCACAGCACCCATTTCCCTGTATTCAATCCCCCTTTACCCCAAATACAGTTAGGGCCTGCGTGATGGGACCCTCAAGGACATGCCTACCAGAAGCTCTGGGATTCAGGAGGTGGGACAAGGAGAATCCCAGACAGGAGCCCTCTGACCTGTGACCATAATCACCAGGGGGTTGCTGGGTGCCGACCACCCACTGGGGGAGTGTGTGTGTGAACCCCGGCATCTATAGGTCCCTGCATGTGACGGGGTCACAGGGCCCATGAAAAGGCTTTTCCAGAATATTCTGTTGTACAGCTCAGGGACAGGCACCCCATCATCCTTGTACAGACTGAAGTTGTTAAACCCAAGATTAGAGTGACACTGAAGAGTCACATGTTCTGGAGGCACCACAAGGCTGGGCCAGGTAGAAAGCAAGGGCTTGTCCTGACCACCTTGGGGTGAAGGAGGCGCCGCCTTAGAGAGGAGGATGTGGAGCTGTGCCTCCCTCCCTGTGCTCAGAAGATTCTCCCCACTTTCCACATTTCTATGGCTGCTATCACACCTTGGTGCCTAGGGCTAAAGGAAGGACCCATCCCACAAAGACAAGGTGTCTCCGTACAACAAAAGTGTCAGCTGAGAACTTTGAGCAAGTGCTGAGTAAGAGACTCCTACTAGATTTTAATACTGTAAGATTACTCACATAAAACAACACAGGGTAGACATGAAGTGGAGGGCATGTCCTTTGAGAATGGAATATCAGCAGTTGCCTGAATGAAAATAAAAAACTTAGCCCCCATCAGAGGATTTGGAATGTCAGGGCCATGGCTGTGGTTTCCCACCTCTTCTGGTAGAATGACAGCAGCCACACTGCAGCCCCTACCATCATGGAAACGCTGAAGTGTGTGAGTAACACCTTTGTCCTCAGAGGATCTGCTGTTCCTACCACTTCCCCACCACACAACCCAGCTTTGAACACCCTAGTCCAACCCTGGTCCCCACACAACTTGACTCTGCCAAGGGGTTGAGAGGCCAGGGAGGCAAGGTCGGAACTGTGGGCCGAGCACCCCAGGGTCCCCTCTTCCTAGTTTATAAGAGACTCCCTGACAGGACTTCCCTCCCGTTTCAGGAAAATCCTCTTATGTGGGGAGATGACACCCTAAGGTTTGGAGAAGGACTTACCCTCCTGTGGCCAGGCCCCCTGCAGCAAGAAGAACCCTGGAAAGAAAGATCATGATGGAAGATCCATTTGCAGGCAAACAAGGCCTTCCTTGCTGCCCCCACTGGGCTGTGAGTCTTGATAGCCAGCCCCTTCCTGGGCCGAAGGGAAACTCACCATCAGTGCCTACCTGCACCCAAGAACAGTGCTCTCGGCTGTGCAGAGACCCAGCCTCCAGGCCCATATCCCCACCCCAAGCCCATATCTCCACTCCAGGCCCATATCTCCACTCCAGGCCGATATTTCCACCCTAGACCCATATAGCCAATCCGGGCCCACATCTCCAATCCAGGCTCAGATCTCCACCCTAGGCCCATATCTCCAATCCAGGCCCATATCTCCACTCCAGGCCCATATCTCCTCTCCAGTCCCATATCTCCACTCCAGGCCCATATCTCCACCCCAGGCCCAGATCTCCACCTCCAGGCCCATAACTACACTCCAGGATCATATCTCCACTCCAAGCCCATATCTCCACATCAGGCCCATATCTCCACTCCAGTCCCATATCTCCACACCCAGGCCCATATCTCCATTCCAGGCCCATATCCCCATCCTAGGCCCATATCTTCACCGTAGGCCCAGATCTCCACTCCAGGCCCATATCTCCACTCCAGGGCCATATCTCCACTCCAGGCCCATATCTACACACCAGGCCCATATCTCCACCCCATGCCCATGTCTCCACTCCAGACCCATATCTCCACCCCATGCCCATATCTCCACTCCAGGCCCATATCTCCAACCCACGCCCATATCTCCACCTCCAGGCACATATCTCCACCCCATGCCCGTATCTCCACTCCAGTCCCATATCTCCACTCCCGGCCCATGTCTCCACCCCATGCCTATATCTCCACTCCAGTCCCATATCTCCACTCCAGGCCCATATCTCCACTCCAGAACCATATCTCCACTCGGCCCATATCTACACTCCAGGCCCATATCACCACCTCCAGGCCCATATCTCCACTCCAGGCCCATATCTCCACCTCCAGGCCCATATCTCCACTCCAGACCCATATCTCCACTCCAGGCCCATATCTCCACTCCAGGCCCATATCTCCACTCCAGGGCCATATCTCCACTCCAGGCTCATATCTCCACTCCAGGCCCATATCTCCACTCCAGGGCCATATCTCCACTCCAGGCTCATATCTCCACTCCAGGCCCATATCTCCACTCCAGGGCCATATCTCCACTCCAGGCCCAGATCTCCACCTCCAGGCCCGTATCTCCACTCTAGTCCCATATCTCCACTCCAGGCCCATATCTCCACCTCCAGGCCCATAACTTCACTCCAGGCCCATAACTCCACTCCAGGCCCATATCTCCACCTCCAGGCCCATATCTCCACTCCAGGGCCATATCTCCACTCCAGGCTCATATCTCCACTCCAGGCCCATATCTCCACTCCAGGGCCATATCTCCACTCCAGGCCCAGATCTCCACCTCCAGGCCCCTATCTCCACTCTAGTCCCATATCTCCACTCCAGGCCCATATCTCCACCTCCAGGCCCATAACTTCACTCCAGGCCCATAACTCCACTCCAGGCCCATATCTCCACCTCCAGGCCCATATCTCCACTGCAGACCCATATCTCCACTCCAGGCCCATATCTCCACTCCAGGCCCAGATCTCCACTCCAGGCCCAGATCTCCACTCCAGGCCCAGATCTCCACCTCCAGGCCCCTATCTCCACTCTAGTCCCATATCTCCACTCCAGGCCCATATCTCCACCTCCAGGCCCATAACTTCACTCCAGGCCCATAACTCCACTGCAGACCCATATCTCCACTCCAGGCCCATATCTCCACTCCAGGACCATATCTCCACTCCAGGCTCATATCTCCACTCCAGGCCCATATCTCCACCTCCAGGCCCATAACTTCACTCCAGGCCCATAACTCCACTCCAGGCCCATATCTCCACTCCAGTCCCATATCTCCACTCCAGTCCCATATCTCCACCCTAGGCTCCTACCTCCCCTCCAGGTTCCTATCTCTCCTCCAGGTTCCTCTCTCCACTCCAGGTTCCTATCCCCACTCCAGGCCCATATCTCCACTCCAGGCCCAGATCTTCACTCCAGGCCCAGATCTCCACTCCAGGCGCAGATCTCCACTTCTAGGCCCATCACTCCATCTCTAGGCCCAGATCTCCACTCCAGGCCCAGATCTCCACTCCAGGCCCATAACTCCACCTCCAGGCCCATATCTCCACCTCTGGGCCCAGATCTCCATCCCCACGCTCCCTCCCTCTATTCCCTTCCAGGACTCACCAACACACGCCATGATGATGACCATGAGCGACATGGTGCTGCCGGTGCAGACAGGCGGCCGCGCCCCAGCTCAGCTCAGCAGCGCACAGGATGTTATTTGGCGCCCTGCCCATGCAGTTTACATGTTGACCACATCATGGGAGGGTGACGTACGCAGGCTTTTTCTACCTTGCATGAGGCCCAGTGGGTGCTCGCTCAAGAGCGGAACATGGCTTCCTGGAAATTGCTCTCACTAGAATTGACACCTCGCGTCCTTCACTATGACCAACTCAAAACACGTCTTAGATCCAACCTCCCAAACATGAGATGCCTAAAATCTGTGCTAACATGAAAGACTTTTCATGAATTTTTATTGTTTTTATCTGAGATTCGAACTCTTCTTCCTGTGTAATATGCAAAATATCTAATAGGTATTATTAGTGTTTTCAGAGTCATTGTGACTAATAAACCATTAGAATTGTTCATGCTTGTATTTCTAGTATTACAGCAGAACCAGTTCAAATGATTTAAATTCCCAGGGAAGGATTATGCAATTATTTACAATCTTAGAATTGTACTTTATCAGCAAAAACCACACATGTAAATTCTGGATTTTTGTAGTTTTATCTATAATTTGTCTCATGACTCAAGATTCCAGAGTCCCAACTTTGGAGTTTGCTCTCTCTCTGTCTCTCTGCCTCCCTCATTTTAAATTTTACAGAAATATCCAGTAACATAATGCTATAGAAAATCAAGTTTCCCCCAGCAGGTCGGGAAGCCGAGGTGGGCGGATCAACTGAGATGAGGAGATTGAGAGCAGCCTGGCCAACACAGTGAAACCGCGTCTCTGCTAAAAATTCAAAAATTAGCCATGCCTGGTGGCAGGCACCTGAAACGCCAGCTACTCAAGAGACTGAGGCACGAGAATCGCCTGAACCTGGGAGGCGGAAGTTGCAGTGAGCTGAGATTGTGTCACTGCAGTCCAGCCTGGGCGACAGAGCAAGACTCCGCCTCAAGAAAAAAAAATAGCAAGTAGCCTATAATAACAAATTAGAGGGCTCTGGCTACTAAATTTAAAGGGTTTTATAAGGCTACATGAAGTGCAGCATCCTCAAGAGTGTGGACACAGAGAGCCCCTTAGCAGAAACAGTGTCTAAAATACATCCGTGTACACACAGTCCCTTTAGAGTTGACAAAGGCTGCCGTGTGGTTTAAGGTGGCATAGAATGTCTTCTCAATAAATAATATTAAACCAAAGGGTTACACGTAGGAAAAAATAAATCTAAACTTATTCTCACACTATAAAAACACTTCTTACTTTTTATCTAGTTATTGTACATTTTTTATGATTTATATTTAAAATTGAGAAATAAAAGTCATATACGGTCATCCTTTACTATTCGTGGGTGATTGGTTTCAGGATCTCCACTCAGGTACCAAAATCTGCAGATGCTCAAGCCTCTTACATAAAATGACACAGCATTTGGATATAACCCATGCACATCCTCCTGTATACATGAAATCATCTCTTGATTACTTATAATTCCTGATACAGCCTACACACTGCCTCATTTGTGTCCATTCAACATAGTTTTGCATTTTGAAACTTTGTGGACATTTTCTCTGAATATTTTTGATTTACACTTGGTTCAATAAACACCTGTAAACCCCACAGATATGGAGGAGCGACTGTATATTTATAGTATGAAATATGATGTGTTGATATGTGTCCCCGTGGAGATGAGACTAGCAAGGCTTATGACTCTACAAATGTTTCATCGTGGAATGACTCTGCCAGCTTTCCAGGTTGCAGAGAGTAAGAATATCACTTGTTCATGTGATTCACGATCCTTGGAACCTCCTATGTGCTGCATCTTTGGATGGAAATTGGAGTCCCAGAGACAAATGAGGCTCCACCCTGCTTCCAGAAGCTCAGAGTCCAGGGGTGAGAACCCAGCGGAGAACAGATGGGGTTATGTGGACATGGTAATGATAACAGCGGTTTCTTTCAGCGAATACAGTGTCACATTACCTGAAGCAATGAGGGCAGACATGTTTATTTGAAGAGGAGACAGCTACATTGAAATCACAAAAAATTTTATAAGTTTCACTGCTGACAGAAGGCTGGAAAATAGTCCGAAGAAAGGTGAAACAGCATGAGGGAAGGTGGAACAGCACGTGGGTAAGTGCCACGTCAAGAGGGAGCCTCTTGTATGTTTGGAATTGTGAGTTCCTCAGTGTGATCGCAGCCTCAAGTAGACTAGGAAGTAAGCCAGTTAGGTTGGAGAGGTGGGCAGGGGTCAAGTGAAATGGAGAACTGTGGGCTAAGCAAAGGAGTGTGTTTTCTTTCCAGCAGGCAGTGGGGACCTAGACATTTGTAAGCAAGAGAGAGGCACCAGATTTGTGGCGTGAGGAGGAGCGATGCCCTAAGATGAAGACTCACGCCTTCAGATTCCAGCTGCTGGTACATGGGAGCTGGCAACTCGGTTTTGAGACAGGGCTGTTGTCTCCCTAGAAGACGCCCTCAAGGCCTGACTGTGGTGCTCATGGGCAGGAGACAACTTTGGATCTGGGCTTAGCATTTGGAAGTTCCGTGTACAAGATGGTATCTGTAGGGGGTGTCTTGGGCCTCTGAGAAGGGCGAGTGATTTTTCTCTGTGTGAAAACGCAGTGATCCAACTGTGCGTATGTCACCTCCTCAGGGTCTTGTTCATCAGAGTCCTGGAGAGAGGGAAATGCTGAGTGAGGGAGGGAAATGCTGAGTGAGGGAGGGTGCTCACGTTTTCCAGGACTGTTTGGGAATAACACTAGCCATGAGGCTGGGCCGAGGAGCACCTACCTCGCTGTTGGCTGTTCTGTTCCCTGCAGGCTCTTGGTCCATTACAGCAGCATCTGTAGGAGACGGAAGTCAACAAAAGAGCTCGGAGGGCACTTCTGGGTCCTCATTTCATAAGCAGATACCAACAAACAGGGGGAGGCCATAGGTGCCTGAGGTCCCTCAGTTGCCAACAGCAGACTCAGACATTCTATCTCTCTGAGCTCAAGGACCCATCCCATGAATAGCTCTGAGTTCCCATCCCATTGATTCTGTCTCCCACTTTCTGCCTGTCATGGAACCTTCTCCTGGATGTGAGTGGCTGCAGGGGACATGAGGATACAGTTCAGAATCAGGCAACGGTCTGTGAGCTGAAGGCAGGGGCAGGGAGTCTGGTGCTCTCTCTAGAAAGTCCTGCCTCTGTGGCTCCTGTCTTGGGCCAGGGACCATCCTGCCAGTGAGGAACACACAGCTGTGTGCTCCCATCCTGCTTCCCCACATGGCCCTGAGCTCTCTGGCCTGTGCCGCGTGAGACTTACTTTTTTTGTTGGAGCACCAGAGATGAAGGAGAAAGAAGAGGAGGAGGATGAAGAGGATGATGACCACTGAGGTCCCAATCAGAATGTGCAGGTGTCTGGGGTTACCTGGAAGAAGAGGAGACACCAGTAAGAAGCTAATCATAGCAGTTTCTCTATATGAATTGTCTTGCATTTCTTGATTGACAGGTAACCACTTACAGCATCTCTTTCGGACAAGCACCCAGATGGCGGGAGACCTAGCTTCCTCCTGCTTTCTCAGTTATAGCTCTCATAGTAACCATGGAACGTGCTGAGGATACAACTACTTTAGTTGAGATGTTTGACCCCTTCAAACCTCACATTGAAATTTAACCCCCAGTGTGGGAGGTTGGGCCTCTTGGGAGGTGTTTGGGTCATGGAGGTGGATCCATCATGAACAGATCAATGCTGTCCCAAGGAGACGGGGTTAGCAAGTTCCCTCTCTATTAGTTCCTGGAGAGCTGGTTGTTAAAAAGAGCTTGGAAGCTCCATTGCTCCCCCTCCCCCTTGCTCCCTCTCTTGCCGTGTGATCTCTGTGGTCTCTGCACAGACAGACCCTCCTTCCCTTCTGCCAGAGTGGGAGCGGCCTGAGGCCATCATAAGAAATAGATGCTGGTGCCATGCTTCCAGTACAGCCTGCAGAATGGTGAGGCAAACCAATCTCTTCTTTAGAAGTTACCCAGGCTCAAGTGTTCCTTTAGAGCAACAAAAATGGACTAAGACAGCAAAGTCCTGAGATCAGGAGGATCGTCCCAGAACAGCCTGGGCTGTCTTCCTGTTCTTCCTGGAGGAGGACGTCATGCAGTGCTTTAGCTGAGTGCTTCCTGTGGCTCCAGGGTACAAAACCCAGGCTGGGCTGCTTTCTGGCTTCCCCCAGCTACACTGCAAATGGGGTGACTCCACATGTCTCGAGCAGCTTTTCTGAGCCTTGGGGAACTGGCTCACATTGAAATGTAGGCTTCTGTTGTCACTCGCTGCTTATCTGTTAGTAATGAACCTGCCTATGTAACGTATTCTCTGTGTGTTCTGTCTCCCTGGAGTGACGGTGAGTGATAGGAATTGGCATAGGCCCAGGTGCAGTCCAGGAGGTGTTTAGAGTCTTCTCTGGGAAGACTGGACTGGGATTGATACACAGCGAATGTGCTTTAGGATTTCTACATCCACGGCATTCTTGAGTTAAACAACTTGCATTCTCCAAGAAAAGGAAACAAAAGTGAAATCAATATAAAAAAAGCGAAGTAGAATTCTCTTATGTCAAACAGCCAGAAAATAGTGTTGAAGCCCGTGTGAAATGTGCTACTCTTTGTGATCTCGGGAGACACATGTTAGGCTGCTGTTCTACCTGAGAGGCTGGGGGAAGGACCACCCCCTCGACTATCTATTGCTTCAATACCACCTGTCCTCCTGTGAATTAGTAGGAAAGGGGAGCAGGAGCTAGTGCTGTCGCTGATCTCTGATTCCAAGATCTGGACTCACTCCAAGGAGTATTAGCATTTACCTCCCCATGATCTATCTGTATCTCCACAGGTGATTGGAAGTAGGGGTGAGATGGGGGATTTGGGTGAGGGGGCAAGTTTTTTTTGTGATGACGAGAGCACTTTCTCTATTCCAGGATTTGTGCTGGAGGATTCAGCGGGCTTTCACATTTTCTATATGATCTCATGCTCACAGAAAGCCAAATACGGAAGAGGTTTTAGGCTGATTGCCTAATGGATAAGATAAAGGATCAAAGAAGTAATTATAGAGAAATAGAAAAATGATGATGGGAATTCAGGTGCCTTTGTCATTCGTGTGTGTTTTATTATATTTATGCATTTCTTATTTTTATTTTTTGAGATGGAGTCTCCTTGTGTCACCCAGGCTGGAGTGCAGTGATGCGATCTCCACTCACTGCAACCTCCATCTCCTGGGTTGAAGTCATTCTCCTGCTTCATCCTCCAGAGCAGGAGCTGGGATTACAGGGATGCACCACCATGCTCGGCTAATTTTTGTATTTTTAGGAGAGATAGGGTTTCACCATGTAGAGATAGGGTTTCACCATGTTGGCCAGGCTGGTCTCGAACTCCTGACTTCTTGGAATCCACTGGCCTTAGCCTCCTGCAGTGCTGGGTTACAGGAGTGAGCCACCGTTCACAGACTTGTATACTATGCTATAATAGGTCCCTTCATTTCCACCACCCCTCATATATCTGTCACTCCTTTGCCAGGTATTGATTTATGTGTAGGAGGAATAAATCTCAGAAAGAAATTAATTTAGCAAGGATTAAACAACTAGGAAACTCAAACCCAGCAAGCCCTCCCTGCAAATGATTCTACCTCCCAAGCATAGCTTATATCCATCTGCTTCATCCACTTAGGGTCTAAATCAGCACCACATTTCACCAGTGGGGCGGGAATTGCCTTTTCCACGGTCTCCTAGATTCCAGTTACGCACCTGGGCCTCCCTTATTTTCATGTCAGTCACTATTAATCATGTAGGGATTCCTGGTTACCCCGAGGTGAATCCAAGGGCTGTGAGTGTCAAACACACACTCCTTGTTGCTCCTTAGTTTCCTGTGTACCCAGTGTGCTCTCCGTCTCTCCACAGTCGTCTTGTCATTCTCCCCACTTCATTCCCAGCATTTGAGTCAGAGCCTCTTCCTTCAACATCAGATTGTTTTCACCTTTGTGCCTTCACAGCTGACAGCTGTGTGGAAAATCCTTCCGCCAATCTTTCAGGGGTTCAATCCGTGTTTTTCATTAATGTCACAAATATCTGATTAGTGAGACCTTCTCTGTCACCCAAAATTATACACTCAGCATTATCTATTATTTATTTTGAATTCTGGCTGGGCAAAGTGGCTCACGCCTGTAATCCCAGTACTTTGGGTTGCTGAGATGGTCGGATCACTTGAGGTTGGGAGTTTCAGACAAGCTTGGCCAATATGGTGAAACATCCTCTCTACAAAAAATATACAAAAAGAATTAGCCGGGCATGGTGGCAGTTGCCTGTAATCCCAGCTACTCGAGAGGCGGAGGCAGGAGAATCACTTGGATCCAGGAGACGCAGGTTGCAGTGAGCCAAGATCGTGACACTGCACTGTAGCCTGGAAGACAGAGGGAGACTCTGTCTCAATAAATAAATGAACGAACAAACAAATAGATTTCATACACAGATGCTTCCCAATGGATCATTCATTTATTGGTCCACTTGTGCATTCATTTTCTGCCCTCCCATTTAACCATCTGCAATATCAGTGTCCCAAGAGCAGAGGCCAAATGCATCTTGTTCACCGTTCGTGGAAGGCAGGAGAATGCTGTCCCACCCCAAAATGTCCCTGTCCTGGCCTCCATAGCTTGTGAATATGTTATTTTACATGGAAAGAAGGAATGAAGATTGCAGATGGAATTACGGTTGCTAGTCAGCTGAACTTAAAACAAGGGTATCCTGAATGATTTCCGGGAGATTATGATGGATTTTCATCTTGGTGAACCCAATAGAATCCCCAAGTTTTCAAAAGATAAGGAAGAAGGGAGAGCAGCATTCAGAGAAAGAGGTGTGGTAAGGAAGAAGGGTCTGAGTGATGCCATGTGAGATGTGACCAGCCTTTGTGGGCTTTGAGGAAGGAGGAAGGGGACCAGGAGCCAAGGAACTGGGAGCCTTTATAAGATGGGACAAGTGAGAAGCAGATTCTTGCCTGGAATCCTCAGGCAAGGGAAGGCAGCCTTGCTGTCACCTTGTTTTTAGCCCAGTGAGATGCACTTCATACTTTGAGCTACAGCACTGTAAGATAATTAAAAAGCCGCTTTGTTTTCACCCACGAATCTTGTGGAAATTTGTTATGGCAACAATAGGAAAGGATTCCAACTGCACAGCCTGAGCATGGGGCTGTGGCTGAATGAGTCAGTGAGTCGAAGTGTGCGTGCATGAGCTCTGTTCTCTATTACGGCAAGGCTCTTGCTCTGCTGAGTCAGCCAGGGTTGCTTCATGACCAACAGTAATTCATTCCTTGGCAAGTGGAACTTCTCTAAAACACCTCGCCCTCATCAGATGTTCCCTTCCCTTCCCTCTCTCAAGTCCCCAGGAATTTATCCTCCAGTTAGGAATGCAGGAAGAAAAAACACTGCATGTTTCCTGAGAAGGATGTCAGATTGGCAATCATTCTTCTAGCTTGTAGGAGGTCTCACCTGCAGGATATTAAAGGTTAAGAGACTTCGCTGAGCCCTTTGGTGGCCCTAGATCCCTTTCACTGTTGGAGTGTCTGGAGTTCAGAGATGGTGGAAGACAGGCCCTCATTCACAGAGCTGGGAGGTTTGAGCCAACACTTGCATCCAAGGCTTCCACCTCCCCAGGTTTCCAAAAGCAGAGATAAGAGGGGTCCTTTACTCACCAGATTTGGAGCTTGGTTCTGTGGGTGAAGGCCAACTACTTGAAGGGTTTCCTAGAACACGGGACAGGAGAGATGTGAGGAAATGAGGGTGCTTGTCCTCTACTCAATGGAAATCTTTGAGGTTGGTTCATGGCCAACACTCTGTTATCTAATGTTGGACCCTGGGAGTCTTGGGATCCTCTTCTCCATAATTTTTGTGTGCGATGCCCACTGTCTTGAGACTTGAAGGTATAAAGAGAAAACAGGAGCATCACACTACCTGACTTAGAAATATGTTACAGAGCTGTAGTAAGCAAAACAGCATGACATTGGCATAAAGAAAGGCACATAAAAAATGGAACAGAATGGAGAACACAGATATAATCCATGCATTTACATCCAATGGCTTTTTTTGTGTGTGTGTGTGATAGAATCTTGCTCTGTCATGCAGGCTGGAGTGCAGAGGTGCAATCTCAGCTCAATGCAACCTCCACTTCCTGGATTCAAGCAATTCTCTTGCCTCAAACACCCGAGTAGTGGTATTACAGGCACTGGTCACCATGCTCAGCTAATTTTTGTATTTTTAGTAGAGACGAGGTTTCACTCTGTTGGCCAGCCTGGTCTTGAACTCCTGGCTTCAGGTGATCCATCCGCCTCGGCCTCCCAAAGTGCTGGAATTGCAGGTGTGAGCCACCATACCCAGCCCATTTAATGGACTTTGACAAAGGTGCCGAGAACTTACAATCAGGAAAGGACAGTCTTTTCAATAAATGGTGTGGGGAAAACTGGATATCTACATGCAGAGGAATAAAACTGCATCTATACCTGTCACCTTACACAAAAATCAAATGAAAATGGATTAAAAACATGAGTCTAAGGCCTGAACCTATGAAACATGTAGAAGAAAATAATGGGGAAGACATTTGTCTGACGAAAGACATTTTGTTTAAAACCTTCAAAACACAAGTAATCAAAGCAAAAAATAGACCATTAGGATTACATCAAACCAAGCAACTTCTGCACCACAAAAGATAAACCAAGAAAGTGAAGAGACAACCGACAAAATAGGAGCAAATATTTGCAAACTATTCATCTGAGACGGGATTAATAACTGGAAATATAAGAAGCTCAAACAACTCAATAAAACAATTTAATTCAAAAAAAGAGCAAAAGTCATGAGGAGACATTTCTCCACAAACAAAACATAGAAATGGCGATCACGTATATGAAAAAGTACTCGGCATCACTCATCATCAGAGAAATGTAAATTACAATCGCGATGAGTTTTCATCTCATCCCATTAAAATGCCTTTTAGGCCGGTGGCTCACGCCTGTAATTCCGGCACTTCAGGAGGCGGAGGTGGGCGGATCACCTGAGGTCGGGAGACCAGCCTGACCAACATGGAGAAACTCCCTCTCTACTAAACATACAAAAATTAGCTAGGCGTGGTGGCACATGCCTGTAATCCCAGCTACTTTGGAGGCTGAGGCAGGAGAATCAGTTGAACGCGGGAGGCGGAGGTTGCAGTGAGCTGAGATCACACCCTTGCACTCCAGCCTGGGCGACTATGAGTGAAACTCCATCTCAACATAAATAAATAAATAAAATAAAGTAAAGTAAAATGGCTTTTACTGCAAGACAGGCAAAACAAATGCTGGCAAGATGGTAGAGAAAGGAGAACCCTGGTACCCTGTTGGTAGGAATGTAAATTAGTACAACTATTATGGAGAAAAGTATGGAAATTCTTTAAAAAACTAAAAGGAGGCTGGGCATAGTGGCTTATGCCTGTAACTTCAGCACTTTGGGAAACCGAGGCAGGCACCTCACTTGAGGTCAGGAGTTTGAGAGCAGCCTGCCCAAAATTGGGATATCCCGTCTGTGCTAAAAAAGTACAAAAATTAGCCAGGCATGGTGGCGTGCACCTGTAATCACAGCTACTAGGGAGGCTGAGTCAGGACAATCATTTGAACCTAGGAGGCACAGGTTGCAATGAGCCAAGATCTCACCACTTAGACTCCAGCTTGGACTAAGGAGGGAAACTCTTTCTCAAAAAAGGAAAAAAAAAAAAGAGAACTTTCATAGTGTCCAGCAATTTCACTACTGGGTTTATATCCAAAGGAAAGGACATCAGTGTATCGAAGTGATATCTGCACTCATATGACTGTTCCAGCACTGTTCACAGTAGCCAAGATGTGGAGTCAACCTACCTGCCTATCAGTGGGTGAATGGATAGAGAACTGTAGTACACACACACGGTGGAGACTACTCATCCATAGAAACAATAACATCCTGTCATTTGCAGCCACATGGATGGAACTGGAGGTCATTACAAAGATTCCCATTTCTCACCACATGCAGGAGATAAAAGGTGGATCTCATGAAGGTGGAGAATACAATGGTGGACACCAGAGGCCAGGAAGGGAAGGGTGGAGGGTAACAAAAAAAAGAATATAGATGTATTTATTTATTTAGAAACAGAGTCTCTCTCTGTCTCCCAGGCTGCAGTGCAGTGGCATGATCTCGGCTCAGTGCAACCTCTGCCTCCTGGCTTTAAGTGCTTCTCCTGCCTCAGCCTCCCAAGTAGCTAGGACTACAGGTGCATGCCGGCATGCTCGGCTAATTTTTCTTGTCTGTTTAGTAAAGATGAATTTCCCACATGTTGGCCAGGGTGATCTCGAGTTCCTGATCTTAAATGATCCACCTTCCTTGGCCTCTCAAAGCGCCGAGATTACAACCGTGAACCACCACACCCAGCATATAAAGGTATTTATGACCACTAGATTTTACTTTTAAAAATGGTAAAGGTGGTAAATTATATAGTTACATTTAACCTCAATAAATATTTTTGAAAATGAAAAGAAAAGGGTGTAGGGGTTGCTGGTGATGACATCTCTCTGTGTGGGTGAGAGGCCATGATGGGCTTCTGGGAAATGGATAAGATTGAGGGGCTGAGGGAACCTCTGATCTCCCGAAACTAAGCCCAGTCTCCCCTTCTCTGGGTCTGTCCTGACCGCTTTCTCCATCTGCCTGGGTGCCTGGAGCCCTGATCGGAGGCCTCCATGCAGGCCATGAAGGAGGGTTTGGAGGTGCCCTGTCTGCCATCCTGCGCCCTGACTCCGCCCTCACACCTGCTGTGTCTTCTCTCTGCATCTGTCCATGCTTTTCTCCATCATCAGCAGGAAGCTCCTTAGCTAAGGATTTAGGATCATAGGACATGAGAGAGATATGGGCTTTTCTCACCTGTGACAGAAACAAGCAGTGGGTCACTCGGGTCTGACAACTCGTAGGGAGAGTGACGGAAAGAGCCAAAGCATCTGTAGGTCCCTCCGTGGGTGGCAGGGCCCAGAGGGAAATCTGCCTGGAATGTTCTGTTGACCTTGCGCACTGCAGGGAGCCTACGTTCATGGGCTCCCCCCTCCCTGGATAGATGGTACATGTCATAGGAGCTCCGGGAGCTACAGGACAAGGTCACGCTCTCTCCTGCCTGAACCTTGGGGCCCGGCTGGGCTGAGAGAGAAGGTTTCTCATATGGACCTGGAAGGAGAAGAGGCAGTTTCCTCAGGGAGGTTCTTCCTTGTCATAGCTCCCCTCATACCTGAGCTGAGAACTCACTCCCCTGCTCTATGACCTAATGCTCTCTCTCTCTCTCTCACCCTCCACCCCATCTCTCTTCATATCTGTTTCCTCCTTCTACCTTTTCTGTCTCTCTAGGTCTATGACCTCAATTCCCCACCCTGAGGTATGTTTTCCCTTTTTGGATTGTTTTATTCTCTCTGACCCTCCTTGGATTGGTTGACTTGATCTTCCTTTTTCTTTAATTTTGAGTCTCTCACTTTCTGTCTTGTTCATAACTTTCTGCACATTTCTATCTATTAATCTATTTTGTGTCTATCTACAAATTATCTATCATCTATATTTATGTATCACTTATCTATCTCTCTATCAATTGTCTGTCTGTCTATCTATCCATCAATCATCTATTATCTATATATGTATCATCTATCTCTCTCTCTATTACCTCTCTGTCTGCCTCTCTGTCTCTATTTATGTATCATCTATGTATATATCTATGTGTCTATCATCATCATCGTCATCTCTATGTATCATCTATCAGTCATCATCTATGTATCTATAACCAATCCATTATCTATCATCTACCTATTTATCATCTATCTACGTCTATCTATCCATCTATCATCTCTCTCTCTCCGTCTCCTTGTCTTTCTCTGCCTCTCAGTCTCTCTAGTTCTATTTGGAATCTCTGCAATCCATCCCCACATATTTATCTTTCTCTGTCTTTGTGTCCCTCCCTCAGGGTTCTGATTTTGGGGCTTTTCTCTCCTCCTTTCCATCATTCTCTCCACTCTGCCCTCTTTTCTTTCTTTTTATGTGTCTGTGAATCTCTTAATCTCCTTCTTCTGGCTCATTTTGTGTGTGTTTATGTCTTTGCTTTTTGGTGTCCCTGATTTTTCTCTGTGTCTCTCAGCGATCCTATCATATGTGGGATTATTTGGAATATGAGCCTCAGAATCCAGTCTGGGGACCCCAAGTTCACACAGCATACAGGGGTTGGTGTTCAGGGGCCATGATATCCTGGGATGATTACTCTCCATTGCATGGAAGGCAGAGGTGTCAGAATAAACACGGCATCTGTAGGTGGCACAAGGCCTGAGGCCACAGGGCCCAACTCAGGTCAGAAATATGGGTGTCCTTGGGTTCTTCTGGTAGGAACACTTTGTGGAGGTAAAACAGAAATGAAACTTCTAACCTGTGCCAGGTCTCTGAGCAAAGTCAGCATGGAAGGACACCTCTCTCTGGGACATGTCTGTCTGTCTGAGTGTCTCCTTTACCTCTTTCTCTCTTTTCTACCTCCCTGTATGGCCCCTGTGTCTGTCCTCTGTTATGACAACTGTTCTGTACTTATGTCTCCTGTTTCTCTGTCTCTGTTGGTACAGACCTCACCAAGTCACTCTCTTTCCGTAAGAATCCCACACTTATCTTCCTCATGACCACCTGGGGGTTCCAAGTCCTGGATCATTCACTCTGTGTCCCAGTGACAATGAGAACAATGTCTAGACACTCTCACCTGTGACCACGATGTCCAGGGGATCACTGGGAGCTGACAACTGATAGGAGGTGTGAGTAACAGAACCGTAGCATCTGTAGGTCCCTGCAAGGGCAAGCATCATGGGACCGATGGAGAAATTGGCCTTGGAGACCCCATCATGGATCTGTCCAACGAGGCGTGAGGGGTCCTTAGAGATCCCCTCTTTGTGCAGAAAGAAGTGCTCAAACATGATATCTGACCAACATTGCAGGATGACTCTCTCTCCTGATTTCACCAGGGGACCTGGGTGGGCCAGGAGGGAAGGTTTTCTGTGGTTTCCTAGAAAGAGAAGTTGTGAGTTTAGAAGGCATCTCTCTTTATCATCCCATCCATGGCACCTGGAATGAGTGAGGGTTCCCCTCCCCGTGTCTGTCTCTCTCCTCCCTCTCTGCATCTCCGTGTCTTTTCTGTGCCCATATCCCCTGGTGCAGGTGCCTCCATCTGTCTTCCTCCCTCTTCTCTGTCCCTCTGTCTCCAGTAGCCCCTGACTCCCTTGCCACTGTGAAGACAGCCTCATCTCTTGGGCTGTTGTATCTGTTTCCCACTAATCTCTTTCCTGCTGTCTATGTGGGGGTGGAAGAGGACAGGCTGCATGTCCAGGCTCTTAGCAGCCTGAATCAATCTCTTTTGAACAAATCCCCAGTTCAAGTGATTCTCTTGCCTCAGCCTCCCCAGTCGTTGGATTACTCGCGCCCACCACCACATCTGGCTATCCTTGTTTGGTTTCCTAACTTGTCCTTGACCTGGGTTCCTGTGTTGGTTTCCTGTTGCTGCTGCAGAAAATTACCACAAACATGGCAGCGGGAGAGAACACACTGACCCCTTCCACTTCTGGAGACAGAAATTGGATCCAGTTCTCCCTGTGCTGAAATCAAGGTGTCTACAGGGCTGCGTTCCCTCTGGAGAATCAGCGAATCAGTTCTCTTGACTTCTCCAGCCCTTAGAGGCCACCTGCATTCTGTGACTAGTGGTCTTTCTCCACCTTCAAAGCCCGCAGTGGCTGATAGCGTCTCCCTCCCACTACACTGCTCTAATCCCCACTCCCCTCTTCCTCCACCTCTCATGTGGACCCTTGTGATTACACTGAGCCCAGTGGGACAGTCCAGGCTGTCTCCCCATCTGAAGGTCAACTCATCAACAACCTGAGCTCCACCTTCCCCTTCAGTCCCCTGCCCTGTAACATAAATAGTCACAGGCTCCAGGGATTACAATGTAGCCATCATTGGGGACAGTGATTCTTCCCACCACAGCACCCATTTCCCCTGTATTCAATCTCCCTTGACCCCAAATACAGTCAGGGCCTGGGTGATGGGACCCTGACGGACACCCCCACCAGAAGCTCTGGGATTCAGGAGGTGGGACAGTGAGAAGCCCAGACGGAAAGCCTCTGACCTGTGACCATGATCACCACGGGGTTGCTGGGTGCCGACCACCCAGTGGGGGAGTGTGGGTGTGAACCCCGACATGTGTAGTTCCCTGCATGTGCTGTGGTCACAGGGCTCATGTTGAAGCTCTCCTGGAATATTCTGCCATGGAAGATGGGAATGTGGATTCTGTCTTCTTTGTATAGCATGAAATTGTTAAACCTATGACGATAGTGACACCGAAGAGTCACGTGTCCTCCTCGAGGCACCACAGCGCTGGGCCAGGCAGACAGGAAGGGTTTGTCCTGACCACCTGGGGGAGAAGGAGGCACTGCCTTAGAGAGGAGGATGTGGAGCCGCCCCTCACTCCCAGTGCCCAGAAGATTCTCCCCATTTCCACTTTCTAAGGCTCCTACCACACCTGGGTGCCCAGGGCTACAGGAAGGACCCATCCTGCATAGACTTGGCGTCTCCCTACAACAAGTGTCAGCTGAGAACTTTGAGCAAGTTGCTGGAGAAGCAACTCTTACTAGATTTTAATACTGCAAAATTACTCATATAAAACAACACAAAGTAGACACGGCATGGAGGGCAAGTCCTATGTGAATGGAATATCAGCCAATTGATGAACTGAGCCCCCATCAGAGGATTTGGAATGTCAGGGCCATGGCTGTGGTTTCCTCACCTTTTCTGGTAGAAAGACCGCAGCCACACTGCAGCCCCTACCATCACGGAAACGCTGGAGGGTGTGAGTTACACCTTTGTCCTCAGAGGACCTGCTGTTCCTAGCACTGCTTCCCTCTCTTTCTCTGCTGCTGACACCACTTCCTCCCTGCACACCCATCTTGGAGCACCCTAGTCTCACCCCAGTCTTCACAGAGCTTGACTCAGGAAAGGGAATGAAAGGCCGGGGAAGGCAAGGTCAGAAATGTGGGCCGAGCATCCGAGGGTCCCCTCTTCCTAGTGTATGAGAGACTCCCCGACAGGACTTCCCTCCCATTTCAGGAAAATCCTCTTATGTGGGGAGATGACACCCTAAGGTTTGGGGAAGGACTCACCCATGTGTGGACCGGCCCTCTGGACCAAGAACAACCCTAGAAAGAAAGATCATGATGGACCATCCATCTGCAGGCAAACCAGGGCACCCTGCTGCCCCCACTGGGCTGTGCGTCTTGGCAGCCAGGCCCTTGCTGGGCTGAAGGTAAACTCACCCTCGCTGCCTACCTGCCCCCAGGAACAAGGATCTCGGCTGTGCAGAGACTGAGCCTCCAGGCCCAGATCTCTACCTCCAGGCCTAGATCTACACAACAGGCCCAGATCTCCACTCCAGGTCCGTATCTCCACTCCAGGCCCATATCTCCTCTCCAGGCTGGTAAGTCCACTCCAGGCCCATATCTCCACTCCAGGCTCCTATCTCAACTCCAGGCCCATATCTCCTCTCCAGGCTGGTAAGTCCACTCCAGGCCCATATTTCCACTCCAGGCTTCTATCTCCTCTCCAGGCCCATATCTCCTTTCCAGGCTTGTATGTCTGCTCCAGGCCCGTATCTCCACCCCAGGCCCATATCTCCACTCCAGGATCATATCTCCACTCCAGGCCCAGATCTCCACTTCATGCCCTTAACTCCACCTCCGGGCCCATAACTCCACCTCTAGGCCCATATCTCCACTCCAGGCCCATATCTCCACTTCAGGCCCATATCTCTACTGCAGGCCCATAACTCCACCTCCAGGCCCATATCTCCACTCCAGGCCCATCGCTCCACTTCTAGGCCCATCACTCCACCTCTAGGCCCACATCTCCCCTCCAGGCCCATATCTCCCCTCCAGGCCCATCTCTCCACCCCAGGCACATATCTCCACCCCAGGCCCATATCTCCACTCCAGGCCCAGATCTCCACTCCAGGCACATATCTCCACCCCAGGCCCCTATCTCCACTCCAGGCCCAGATCTCCACTCCAGGCCCAGATCTCCACTTCAGGCCCATAACTCCACCTCTAGGCCCATAACTCCACCTCTAGGCCCATATCTTTACCTCCAGGTCCAGATCTCCATCCCCTCACTCCCTCCCTCGATTCCCTTCCAGGACTCACCAACACACGCCATGCTGACGACCATGAGCGACATGGTGCTGCCGGTGCAGACAGGCGGCTGCGCCCCAGCTCAGCTCAGCAGCGCACAGGATGTTATTCGGCGCCCTGCCCATGCAGTTTACATGTTGACCACATCATGGGAGGGTGACGTACGCAGGCTCTTTCTACCTTGCATGAGGCCCAGTGGGTGCTCGCTCAAGAGCGGAACATGGCTTCCTGGAAATTGCTCTCACTAGAATTGACACCTCGCGTCCTTCACTATGACCAACTCAAAACACGTCTCAGATCCAACCTCCCGAACATGAGATGCCTAAAATCTGTGCTAACATGAAAGACTTTTCATGTATTTTTATTGTTTTTATCTGAGATTCAAACTCTTCTTCCTGTGTAATATGCAAAATATCTAATAGGTATTATTAAGGTTTTCAGAGCAATTGTGACAATAAACCATTAGAATTTTTCATGATTGTATTTCTAGTATTACAGCAGAACCAGTTCAAATGATTTAAACTCCCAGGGAAGGATTATGCAATTATTTACAATCTTAGAATTGTACTTTATCAGCAAAAATCACAACATGTAAATTCTGGATTTTTGTAGATTTATCTAGAATTTGTCTCATGTCCCAAGATTCCAGAGTTCCAACTCATGGTTTGCTCTCTCTCTGTCTCTCTGCCTCCCTCATTTTAAATTTTACAGAAATATCCAGTAACATAATGCTATAGAAAATCAATTTCCCCAGCACTTTGGAAGCCGAGGTGAGTGATCAACCGAGGTCAGGAGTTTGAGACCAGCCTGGCCAATATAGTGAAACCATGTCTCTGCTAAAAATACAAAAATTAGCCATGCCTGGTAGCAGGCACTTGTAATGCCAGCTATTCAAGAGGCTGAGGCACGGAATCCCTTGAACCTGGGAGGCGGAAGTTGCAGTGAGCCGAGATCGTGCCACTGCACTCCAGCCTGGGCAACAGAGCGAGACTCTGCCTCAAGAAAAATAAAAAAAGCATAGCAAATAGCCTATAATAAATAACTAGAGGACTCCAGCTACCAAATTTTAGGGGTTGTATAAGGCTGCATAAAATGCAGCATTCTCAAGAGAGTGGACAGAGAGAGAGCCACTGAGCAGAAAACAGTGTCTAAAATACATCCGTGTACACACAGTCCCTTTATAGTTGACAAAGGCTGCCATGTGGTTTAAGGTGGAATAGAATGTCTTCTCAATAAATAACATGGGCCCAAGGGTTACACATAGAGAAAAATATATCTAAACGTATTCTCACACTATAAAACACTTGTTTATTTTATCTTGTTATTGTAATTTTTTTATGTTTTATATTTAAAATTGAGAAATAAAAATTATATACAGTCATCCCTCACTATTCGTGGGTGATTGGTTTCAGGATCTCCACTCAGATAGCACAATCTGCAGACGCTCAAGCCTCTTACATGAAATGGCACAGCATTTGCAAATAACCCATGCACATCCTCCTGTGTACATGAAATCATCCCTTGATTATTTATAATTCCTGATACAGCCTACACACAGCTTCATTTGTGTCCATTCAACATAGTTTTGCTTTTTGAAACTTTGTGGATTTTTTCTCTGAATATTTTTGATTTATATTTGGTTCAATAAACACCTGTAAATCCCACAGATACAGAGGACCGACTGTATATTTATAGTATGAAAGATGATGTGTTGATATGTGTCCCCGTGGAGATGAGACTAACAAGGCCTATGACTCTACAAATGTTTCATCATGGAATGACTCTGCCAGCTTTCCAGGTCTGCAGAGAGTAAGAATATCACTTGTTCATGTGATTCACGATCCTTGGAACCTCTTATGTGCTGCATCTTTGGATGGAAATTGGAGTCTCAGAGACAAATCAGGCTCCACCCTGCTTCCAGAAGCTCCGAGTCCAGGGGTGAGAACCCAGTGGAGAACAGTTGGAGTTATTTGGACATGGTAATGATAACACTGGAAACTTTCAGCCAAAAAAAGAGTCACCTAAAGAATGAAGGCAGACATGTTTATTTGAAGAGGAGAGAACTACACTGAAATCAAAAAAATTTTATAAGGTTTGCTGATGCCAGAAGGCTGAAAAATAGTCTGAGGAAAGGTGGAACAGCACGAGGGAAGGTGGAACAGCACGTGTCTAAGTGCCGTGTTAAGAGAGAGCCTCTTGTATGTTTGGAATTGTGAGTTCCTCAGTGTGATTGCAGCCTCAAGTAGACTAGGAAGTAAGCCAGTTAGGTTGGAGAGGTGGGCAGGGGTCAAGTGAAATAGAGAATTGTGGGCTAAGCAAAGGAGTGTGTTTTCTCTGCAGCAGGCAGTGGGGACCTTAGACATTGGTAAGCAAGAGACAGGCACCAGATTTGTGGTGTGAGGAAGAGTGATGCTCTAAGATGGAGACTCACGCCTTCAGATTCCAGCTGCTGGTACATTAGAGCTGGCAAGCTGGGTTTGAGACAGGGCTGTTGTCTCCCTAGAAGATCCCATCAAGGCCTGACTGTGGTGCTCATGGGCAGGAGACAACGCTCTGGGCTCAGCATTTGGAAGTTCTATACACACGCTGGTATCTGTTGAGGGTCTCTTGCTCCTCTGAGAAGGGCCAGTGATTTTTCTCTGTGTGAAAATGCAGTGATCCAACTGTGCGTATGTCACCTCCTGAGGGTCTTGTTCATCAGAGTCCTGGAGAGAGGGAAATCCTGAGTGAGGGAGGGTGTTCACATTTTTCAGGACTATTTCGGAATAAGACTGTATCCATGAGGCTGGGCTAGGAGGACCTACCTCCCTGTTCACTGTTCTGTGTCCCGCAGGCTCTTGGTTCATTACAGCAGCATCTGTAGGAGACGGAAGCAATCAAAACAGCTGGGAGGGCACTTCTGGGTCCTCATTTCATGAACAGATACCAACACACAGGGGGAGGCCATAGGTGCCTGAGGTCCCTCAGCTGCCAACAGCCAGACTCAGACATTCCATCTCTCTGAGTGCAAGACCCCATTCCATGAATAGCTGTCAGTTCCCATCCCATTGATTCTATCTCCCACTTTCTGCCTGTCATGGAATCTTCTCCTGGATGTGAGTGGCTGCAGGGGACGTGAGGATACAGTTCACAATCAGGCAACGGTCTGTGAGCTGAAGGCAGGGGCAGGGTGTCTGGTGCTCTCTCTAGAAAGCTCTGCCTCTGGCTCCTGCCTTGGGCCAGAGACTTTCCTGCCAGTGAGGAACACACACCTGCGTGCTCCCATCCTGCTTCCGCACAGGGCCCTGAGTTCTCTGGCCTCTGCTTCGTGAGGCTTACTTTTTTTTTGGAGCACCAGCGATGAAGGAGAAAGAAGGGAAGGATGGTAAAGAGGATGATGGCCACTGAGTACCTAATCACAGCATGCAGGTGTCTGGCGATACCTGGAGGAAGATGGGAATCCAATAAGAAGCTAACCATAGCAGTTCCTCTTTGTGGATTGTCTCTCATTTCTTGGTTGCCAGGCAACCACATAAAACACCTCTTTAAGACAAGCACCCACGAGGCGGGAGACCCAGCTTTCTCCTGCTTTCTCCGTTATAGTTTTCATAATAACAATAGAATGTGCTGATGATACAACTGCTATTGTTTCAATGTTTGACCCCTCCAAACCCCACTTTGAAATTTAATCCCCAGTGTGGGAGGTTGTGCCTATTGGGAGGGGTGTTTTGGTCATGGGGGTGGATCCATCATGAATAGATTAATGCTGTCCCCAGAGGACGGGGTTAGCAAGTTCTCCCTCTATTAGTACCCTGGAGAGTTGATTCTTAAAAAGAGCTTGGAAGCTCCATCACACCCCCTTTCTCCCTCTCTTGCCATGTGATCTCTGTGGTCTCTGCACACGCAGGACCCCCTTCTCTTCTGTCAGTGTGGGAGCAGCCTGAGGCCGCAGCCAGAAATAGATGGTAGTGTCCTGCTTCTAGTACAGCGTGCAGATCAGTGAGCCAAACACATCTCTTTTCTTTAGAAGATACCCAGGCTCAAGTGTTCTTTTATAGCAACAAAAATAGGCTAAGACAGCAACATCCTGAGATCAGGAGGAACGTCTCAGAACAGCCTGGGCTGTCTTCCTGTTCTTCCTGGAGGAGAACATCATGCAGTGCTTTAGCTGAGTGTTCCCTGTGGCTCCAGGGTACAAAACCCAGGCTGGGCTGCTTTCTGGCTTCCCCCAGCTACAGTGCACATGAAGTGACTCCATGTGTCCTGAGCAGTTTTTCTGAGCCTTGAGGGACTGGCTCACCCTGAAAGGAAGGTTTCTGTTGTCACTCGCTGCTTATCTATAAGTAATGAACCTGCCTATGTAATGTATTCCCTGTGTGTTCTGTCTCCCTGGAGTGATGGTGAGTGATAGAAATTGGCACAGCCCCAGGTGCAGTATGGGAGGTGTTTAGAGTCTTCTCTGGGAAGACTGGACTGGGATTGATACACAGTGAATGTGCTTTACAGTTTCTACATCCACAACCCTCTTGACTCAAACAAATTACATTCTCCAAGAAAAGGAAAAAACAGTGACATTGAAATCAACATAAGTGAGGTTGAGCTGTCTTATATCAAACAGCCAGGAAATAATGATGAAGCTCGTGGGCAACATGCTACTTTTGTCATCTTGGGAGTCAGATATTAGGCTGCTGTTCCACCCGAGAGTCTGGGGGAAAGACCACCCCCTCCATCATCTGTTGCTTCAATACAGCCTGTCTTTCTGTGAATTACTCCAAAAGGTGACCAGGAGATAGTGCTGGCACTGGTCTCTGAGTCTACGATCTGAACTCCAAAGAATATTAGTTTTTACCTCCCCATGATCTATCTGTATCATTAATGTGATTGGAAGTAGGGGTGAGGTGGGGGATTTGGGTGAAGGGGCAAGTTTTGTGCCATGAACAGATCACGTTCTCTATTCCAGGACCTGTGCTGGTGGGTTTCACATTTTCCATATGATCTCATGCTCACAGAAAGCCAAATAAGGAAGATGTTTTCGCCTGATTTTCTTACGGATAGGATAAAGGATCAAAGAAGTCATTATAGAGAAATAGAAAAATGATGATTGGAATTGGTGTGCCTTTGTCATTCGTGTATGTTATATTATATTTATGTATTCTTTATTTTTATTTTTTGCCATGGAGTCTCACTCTGTCACCTAGGGTGCAGTGCAATGACGCGATCTTGGCTCACTGTAACCTCTCCCTCCCTGGTTGAAGCCATTCTCCTTCTTCAACTTCCCGAATAGCTGGTATTACAGGCACGCGCCACCACCCCCAGCTAGTTTTTGTATATTTAGTAGAGATGGGGTTTCACCATGTTGTCCAGGCTGATCTCGAACTCCTGATCTCACTTGATCCAGCCTCCTCAGCCTCCCAAAATGTTGGGTTACAGGTGTGAGCCACCGTTCAGAACCTTGTGTGTTATATTATAATAGGTCTCTTCCTTTGCACCACCCCTCATGTATCTCTCACTCCTCTGCCAAGTATTGATTTACATGTAGGAAAAATAAATCTCAGAAAGAAATCAATGAAGTGAAGATTAAACAATTAGGAAAAATCAAACCAGGCAAGCCCTCCCTGCAAATTACTCTACCTCACAAACACATCTTGTGTCCATCTTTCATTCATTTAGTGTCTAAATCAGCACCACATTTCACCAGGGGGGCGGGAATTGCCTTTTCCACAGTCTCCTAGATTCCAGTTATGCACCTGGGCCTCCCTTATTTTCATGTCAGTCACTATTCATCATGTAGGGATTCCCAGTTAGCCCCGAGGTAAGTCCAATGGCTGTGAGTATCAAACACACGCTCCTTGTTCCTCCTTAGTTTCCTGTGTACCCAGAGTGCTCTCTGTCTCTCCACAGTCGTCTTGTCATTCTCCCCATGTCATTCCCAGCATTTCAGGCAGAGCCTCTTCCTTCCACATAACATTGTTTTCACCTTTGTGCCTTCACGGCTGACAGCTGTGTGGAAAATCCTTCCGCCAATCTTCCAGGGGTTGATCTATTTTTTTCATTAAGGTCACAAGTATTATTTGATCAGTGAGAACTTCTCTGTCACCCGAAATTATACACTCAGCATTATCTATTATTTCTTTTAAAATACGGCTCGGCGCCTTGGCTCACGCCTCTAATCTCAGCACTTTGGGAGGCTGAGACGGGCGGATCCCTTAAGGTTGGGAGTTTGAGATAGCCTGGGCAACATGGTAAAACCTTGTCTGTACTAAAAAAAAATACCAAAAAAAAATTAGCCAGGCGTGGTGGGACATGGGTGTAATCCCAGCCTCTCGGGAAGCTGAGTGTAGAGAATCGCTTTAACCTGGGAGGTGGAGGTTGCGGTGAGCCGAGATCCCGCCACTGCACTCCAGCCTGGGGCACAGAGGGAGACACCGTCTCATAAAAACAACCAATCAATCAATCATTCTCATGCACAGATGCTTCCCAATGGATCATTCATTTATTGGTCCACTGGTGCATTCATTTTCTGCCCTCCCATTTAATCCTTTGCAATATCAGTGTCCAAGAGCAGAGGCCAAATGCACCTTGTTTACCATTTGTGGAAAGGATAAGAATGCCGCCCCACCCCAAAATGTTCCTGTCCTAGTCGCCATATCTTGTGAATATGTTATTTTACATGGAAAAAAGGAATGCAGATTGCAGATGGAATTACGGTTGCTAATCAGCTAACCTTAAAAGGAGGGTATCCTAGATGATTTTAGGGAAATTATGATGGATTATCTTGGTGTTTCCAATAGAATGCCAAAGTCCTTAAAAGATGAGGAAGAAGGCAGAGCAGCATTCAGAGAAAGAGGTGTGGACAAGGAAGAAGGGTCTGAGTGATGCCGTGTGAGAGGCGTGACCAGCCTTTGTGGACTTTGAGGGAGGAAGACGGGGACCAGGAGCCAAGGAATGTGGGAGCCTCTAGGAGCTGGGAAAAGTGAGGAAGCAGATTCTTGCCTGGAACATTCAGAGGGAAGGCAGCCTTGCTGTCACCTTGATTTTAGCCCAGTGAGATGATGCATTTCATACTTCTGAGCTACAGCACCATGAGATATTTTTTAAAAATGTGGTTTCCATCCACGAAGCTTGTGGAAATTTGTTATGGCAACATAGGAAAAGGTTCCACACTGCACAGTCTGAGCATGGGGCAGTGGCTGAACGAGTAAGTGGAAGTGTCATGTGCACGGATGAACTACGTTCTCTCTTACTGCAAAGCTCTTGTTCCACTAAGTCAACCAGGGTTGGATCATGACAGACAGGAGCTCATTCCTTGGCAAGTAGAACTTCTCTACAAATACACCACCCTCAAAAATGTTCCCCGTCCTTCCCCTTCTCAAGCCCCCAGGCATTTGTCCTCCCAGTTAGGAATGCAGGCAGAACAAACACAGCATTTTTCCTGAGAAGAATGTCTGATTTGCACTCATCCTTCTACCCTGAGGTCTCAGCAGCAGAAAATTAGAGATTAAGAGATTTCACTGAGCCCTGTGCTGGGCCCAGATCCCTTTCGCTGTTGGAGTGTCTGGGGTTCAGAGACAATGGAAGACAGGCCCACAATCACAGAGCTGGCAGGTGCTGAGCCAACGCTTGAATCCAAGGCTTCTACCTCCCCAGGTTTCCAAAAGCAGAGATAAGAGGGGTCCTTCACTTACCAGTTTTGAAGCTTGGTTCAGTGGGTGAAGGCCAACTACTAGAAGGGTTTCCTAGAACATGGGACAGGAGAGAGGTGTGGCAATGAGGATGCCTGTCTTCTACTCAATGGAAATCTTTGAGGTTGGTTCATGGCCAACATTCTATTATCTAATGTTGGGCCCTGGGAGTCCTGGCATCCCATTCTCCATAATCATTGTAGGTGACACCAACTATCTTGAGACTTCAAGGTATAAGGAGAAAACAGGAGCATCACACTACCTGACTTAAAAATATGTTACAGAGCTGTAGTAAACAAAACAACATGACATTGGCATAAAGAAAAGCACATAAAACAATGGAGCAGAATGAAGAACACGGATGTAATCCACCCATTTACATCCAATGGACTTTGACAAAGGTTCGAAGAATCTACAATCTGGAAAGGACAGTCATTTCAATAAATGGTGCAGGGAAAACTGGATATCTACATGCAGAGGGATGAAACTGCACCTCTACCTCTCACCATACACAAAAATCAGATGAAAATGGATTAATGACTTAAGACCTGAATCCATTAAATGTCTAAAAGGAAACACTGGAGAAATGCTCCAGGACATTTGTCTGAGGGAAGACATTTTGTTTAAAACCTCAAAAACACAAGTAATCACAACAACAACAAAAAAATAGACCATTGGGATTATATCAAATCAAGCAGCTTCTGCACCGCAAAGGAAGCAACCAATGAAGTGAAGAAGAGACAACCCACAGAATGGGAGCAAATATTTGCAAACTATGCATCTGAGATGGGATTAATAACTAGAATATAAAAGAAGCTCAAACACCTCAATAAAACTAATAATTTAATTATAAAATTAGTAAAAGACCTGAACAGACATTTCTCAATGAACAAAACATACAAATGAACATATATACATTGCATATATGAAAAAGTGCTCAGTATCACTAATCATCAGAGAAATGCAAATGAAGTCACAATGAGCTATCATCTCACCCCATTACAATGGGTTTTATCTCAGAGACAGACAAAACAAATGTTGGCAAGGTGGTGGAGAAAGGAGAACCCTGATACACTGTTGATAGGAATGTAAATTAATACAGCCATTACAGAGGAGAAGAATATGGAAGTTCCTTAAAAACTAAAAAGAGATTAGGCACTGTGGCTCACGCTTGTAATCCCAGCACCTTGGGAGGCTGAAGTGGGCAGATCACTGGAGGTCAAGAGTTCGAGACCAGCCTGGCTAACATGGTGAAACCCCGTCTCTACTAAAAATACAAAAATCAGCCAGGCGTGGTGGCGGGCACCAGTAATCCCAACTACTCGGGAGGCTGAGGCTGGAGAATCACTTGAATCCTGGAGGTAGAGGTTGCAGTGAGCCCAGGTGGTGCCATTGCACTCCAGCTTGGGCAACAAGAGTGAAACGCTATGTCAAAAAAACAAAAAGCATAAAACAAAACCTAAAAAGAGAACATCCAGAGGATCTAGCAATTCCACTAGTGGGTGTAAATGCAAAGAAAAGGACTTCAGTGTATTGAAGTGACATCTGCACTCCCATGACTGTTCCAGCACTGTTCACAGTAGCCAAGATGTGGAGTCAACCTACCTGCCCATCAGTGGATGAATGGATAGAGAGAATGTAGTACATACACACAATGGAGACAACTCATCCATACAAAGAGAAACGTCCTGTCATTTGCAGCCACATGGATGGACTGGAGGTCATTACAAGGATTGCCATTTCTTACTCACATGCAGGATGTAAAAGGTGGACCTCATGAAGGTAGAGAGTAGAATGGTGGATACCAGAGGTTAGGAAGGAAGGGGTGGAGGGTAACAAAAGAAGAATATAAAAGTATTTATTTATTTATTTAGAGACAGAGTCTCTCTGTGTCACCAGGCTGCAGTGCAGTGGCATGATCTCAGCTCACTGCAACCTCCTCCTCCTGGGTTTAAGCCACTCTCCCGCCTCAGCCTCCCAAGTTGCTGGGATTATAGGCGCCTGGCACCATGCCTGGCTAATTTTATTTTTTTTGTCTTTTTAGTAAAGATTGGTTCCCCCATGTTGGCCAGGCTGGTCTCCAGCCCCTGATTTTAAATGATCCACCTGCCTTGGCGTCTCAAAATGCTGAGATTACAGGCGTGAGCCACTGCACACAGCATATAAAGGTATTTATGATCCCTAGATTTTACACTTAAAAATGGTAAAGTTGATAAATTATATAGGTATATTTAACCTCAATCAGCATTTTTTCAAAGGAAAAGAAAAAGTGTAGGGGTTGCTGGTGATGACATCTCTGTGTAGGTGAGAGGCCAGGGTGGGCTTCTGGGAAATGGGTAAGGTTGAGGGGCTGAGGGAACCTCTGATCTCCCCAAACTGAGCCCAGTCTCCCTCCTCTGGGTCTGTCCTGACCACTTTCTCCATCTGCCTGGGTACCCGGAGCCCTTACTGCAAGCTTCCATGCAGGCCATGCAGGAGGGTTTGGAGGTGCCCTGTCTGCCATCCTGTGCCCTGATCCCACCCTCACACCATGCTGCATCTTCTCTCCACATCTGTCCATGCTTCTCTCCATCATCAGCAGGAAGCTCCTCAGCTAAGGCTCTAGGACCATAGGACATGGGACAGACATTGGCTTTCCTCACCTGTGACAGAAACAGGCAGTGGGTCACTCGGGTCTGACCACTCGTAGGGAGATCCATGGAAAGAGCCGAAGCATCTGTAGGTCTCTCCGTGGGTGGCAGGACCCAGAGGGAAGTCGGCCTGGAATGTTCCATTGATGCTGGGCACTGCAGGGAGCCTAAGTTCATGGGCTTCCCCCTCCCTGGATAGATGGTAGATGTCAAAGGAGCTCTGGGAGCTGCAGGACAAGGTCACGTTCTCTCCTGCGCGAACCGTGGGGCCCGGCCGGGCTGTAAGCGAAGGTTTCTCATATAGACCTGGAAGGAGAAGAGGCAGTTTCCTCAGGGAGGTTCTTCCTTGTCACAGCTCCCCTCCCACCTGAGCTGAGAACTCACTGCCCTGCTCTATGGCCTAGTGCTCTCTCTCTCTCTCTCTCTCTCACCCTCCACCCCCAACTCTTCCTGTCGATCCCTCCCTATGTGGTTCCAGCCTGGTGGTGGCATCAGCAGTGCACCCTTGCTGATCTCAGGGTAGCCAACCTTCTTGTTTGGTTTTTTAACTTGTCCTTCACCTGGGTTCCTGTGTTGGTTTCCTGTTGTTGCTGGAGAAAATTATCACAAACATGGCGGCAGGAGAGAACACACTGACCCCTTCCACTTCTGGAGACAGAAATCAGACCCTGTTCTTCCTGGGCTACAATCAAGGCATCTGCAGGGCTGCATTCCCTCTGGAGACTCGGGAGAATCAGTTCCATTGATTTCTCCAGCCCCTTCGTGGCTCGTGGTCTTCCTCCACCTTCAAAGCCCACAGTGGCTGGTGGAGTATCCCACGATGCTGCTCTAATCCCCATTCTCCTCTTCCTTCTCCACTCATATGGACCCTTGTGATTACACTGAGCCCAGTGGGAGGGTCCAGGCCATCTCCCCATCTCAAGGTCAACTCATCAACAACCTGAGCTCCATCTTCCCCTTCAGTCCCCTGCCCTATAACATAGTCACAGGCTCCAAGGATTACAATGTGGCCATCGATGGGGACAGTTATTCTTTCCAACACAGCACCCATTCCCCTGTATTCAATCCCCCTTTACCCCAAATATAGTTGGGGCCTGGATGATCGGACTCTGGTGGACACCCCCACCAGAAGCTCTGGGACTCAGGAGGTGGGACAAGGAGAAGCCCAGACAGGAGCCCTCTGACCTGTGACCATGATCACCAGGGGGTTGCTGGGTGCCGACCACTCAGTGGGGGAGTGCGGGTGAAAACCTCGACATCTGTAGGTCCCTGCGTGTGCTGGGGTCACAGGGCTAATGAGGAAACTGTTCCAGAATATTCTGTTGTAGAGCTCAGGGACAGGGACCCCATCTTTCTTGTACAGCGTGAAGATGTTAAACCCACGACGACAGTGACACCGAAGAGTCACGTGTCCTCCTTGAGGCACCACAGCGCTGGGCCAGGCAGAGCAGAAGGGCTTGTCCTGACCACCTTGGGGAGAAGGAGATGCCGCCTCAGAGAGGAGTATGTTGAGCTGCCCCTCCCTCCCTGTGCTCAGAAGATTCTCCCCATTTCTTCTTTCTAAGGCTCCTACCACACCTGGGTGCCTGGGGCTACAGGAAGGACCCATCCCGCATAGACGTGGCGTCTCCCTACAACAAAAGTGTCAGTTGAGAACTGAGCAGGTGCTGAGTAAGGGACTCTTACTAGATTTTAATACTGCAAGATTAGTTACACCAAACAACACAAAGTAGACATGGGGTGGAGGGTATGACCTTTGTGAATGGAATATTAGCTAATGCCTGAACCACAATAAACAACTGAGCTCCATCAGAGGATTTGGAATGGCAGGGTCGTGGCTGTGGTTCCCCCACCTCTTCTGGCAGAATGACAGCAGCCACACTGCAGCCCCTACCGTCATGGAAACGCTGGAGGGTGTGAGTTACCCTCTTGTCCTCAGAGGACCTGCTGTTCCTAACACTGCTACCCTTCCCTCCTCTGTCGGTGACACCACATCCCCCCACACACCCCAGCTTTGAGCACCTCAGTATCCCGCCTGGGCCACACAGAGCTCAACTCAGCCATGGGGAAGAAAGGCTGGGGAGGGCTAAGACAAAACAGAAGGCTGAGCATACCAGGATCTCCTCTTACTAGTTCATGAGAGACTCCCAGGATCTCCTCTTACTAGTTCATGAGAGACTCCCAGGATCTCCTCTTACTAGTTCATGAGAGACTCCCAGGATCTCCTCTTACTAGTTCATGAGAGACTCCCCCCAGGCCTTCCCATGGTCAGCCCATCAGCCCACCCTCTGTGCTGCCTCCCTCCCATTTCCGGAAAATTCACTTGTATTGGGGTGAAGATGGCAACCCATCATTTGGGGAAGGACTCACCCACGTGTGCCCACACACTCTGGTCCAAGAAGAACCCTGCAAAGAAAGATCATGATGAACTATTCATCTCGGCAGCAACCTACCCTTTCCTCCTGAGCCACTGGGCGCCACGCTGGACTGAAAATTAACTCATCCTCACCACTCACTTGCTTCAGAACATGGCTCTCTGCTGGGGAGACACCCAATCTGCAGGCCCATAGTGTAACCCTGGTGCTCCTTCCCTTCCAGGACTCACCAAGACATGCCAGGATGATGACCGTGGGTGACATGGACATGGTGCAGCTTCTGCTGCCAGGACGCAGTGACTCGGCTCGACTGACCGGTGCAGAGGATGTGGTGAGGGGCCCGGATCGTGCAGTTGACACATTGACCACAACATGTGAAGGGGACATAGGTAGGCTTCTTCTACGTCATATGAGGTTCAAGTGGTGAATCAGTCAAGGGAGGAATGAGGGTTTCTGAAAACTGCAGACTAGACTTGTCACTTCACATCATGCGCAACGGCCAGGCTCAAAACACATCTCAGACTCACTTACCCCTGCACGGGACGATTGAATTCTGCACTCACATGAGGAACTTTTGATGTATTTTTTTTTGTTTCTACCTGAGATTCAAACTCTCCTTGATATGTAATATGCAAAATACCTAATAGGTTTTATTAACACTATAGAGCAATCGTATTAAATAAATCATCATAATTTTCCATGGTTGTATTTTTCCTGTTAAGCCAGAAACAGATAAAATGATTTAAATCCCAGTAGAAAAGACTATATAGTTATTTCGCATCATAGAATTCCACCTTATTAGCAAAAACACAATATGTCAATTGAAGGTCTGGTCGTGTTATCTAGAATTTGTCTTATGACACAAGAGTCCAAATTCACAGTTCCCTGTCTCCCTTTTTGTCTCTCTGTAACGTGTGCTTTTTTTCTCCCTGTGTTGTTTGTGTGTCTTTCTTTCTCTCTCTCATTTGAGGAAAAAATATCAGACTGATAACATCCTCCAACTTGATACTGGAATATTGCAATAACTGAAGGTTGAAATCTACACATTTAATGTGCTGTCATTCTTACAAATGTCTCTTATTTACACCTACCTTTCTGGAGTTTGTAAGAACTTTTTCACTATGCATTTTAAATTTGTAAAACTCATAATTTTTAAAAAGGGATGGGTCTCACTGTTTGCCCAGGGTGGCCTTTACTCATTCTATAAGGCTGGCATCACCCTGATACTAAAGACAGAAAAGAATATTAAACAAAAGAAAACTACATGCCAATATTCCTGATGAGCATAGATGCAAAAATCCACAAAAAATACTAAGAACTGAATCCCGCAGCATATCAAAAAGTGAATCCACCATGATCAAGTCAACTTTATTCTTAGGGTGCAAGGTTGGTTGAACATACACAATCAATACATGTGATTCATCACCTAAACAAAACTAAAAACAAAAACCACATGATCTTCTCAACACACATGTAGAACATACTTTTTACTAAGCATTTCTTCATGTTAAAAGCCCTCAACAAGCTAAGCATTGAAGAAACATAACTCAATATAATAAGAGCCGCCTATGACAAACCCACAACCAACATCATACTGAATGAGTAAAAGCTGGAAGAAGTTCCCTTCATAAGTGAAACAAGACAAGAATGCCCACTCTCACCATCCTATTCAACATAGTACTTGAAGTCCTAGACAGAGCCATCAGGAAAGAGAAAGAATTATAAGGCATCCAAGTAAGAAGAGAGTAGCAGAGAGAGGTAGTCAAATTACCTCTGTTTGAAGATGAGATAATTTCTATACCTAGAAACCCCATAGTCTCTGCCCAAAGGCTCCTACATCTGAGAAACAAACTTCAGCACAGTTTAAGGGCAGAAAGTCAATGTACAGGCTGGGTGTGGTGTCTCAGCCTGAAATCTAGCACTTTGGGAGGGCGAAGCGGGTGGATCACCTGAGGTCTGGAGTTCGAGACCAGCCTGGCCAACATGGCGAAACCCTGTCTCTACTAGAAACACAAATATAGCCGGACGGGGTGGTACGCAACTGTAGTCCCAGCTGCTTGGGAGGCTGAGTCAGGAGAACCGCTTGAACCTGGGAGGCAGAGGTTGCAGTGAGCGGAGATCACGCCATTGCACCTCAGCTTGGGCAACAACAGTGAAACTGCGTCTCAAAAAAAAAGCCAAAACAAATTTAATTAATGAGGAAAAGGGTATTTGTGGTGTCCATCATGATGTTTTCATATAGGTACACATTGTGGAATGGATGAAACAACCTCTTTATCTATTTATTTTTTCACATACTTGTATGTTTTGTGTGTGTGGTGAGAACATGTAAAATCTAATCTCTTAGTAATGTTCAGTACACCATATGTTGCTATTAAATGGAGTCACCAAGACATACAATAGATCTCTTGAACCGATTTCTTCTAACTGAAATTTTGCATCCTTTGACCAACATCTCTTCAATCTCTCTCCTTCCCAGGTTCTTTCGACGACCATTTTACTGTTCCTCTAGGTTCCACTTCTTACACTCCACACATGAGATCATGTGGCATTTGTCTTTCTGTGCCTGGATTGTTTCCCTTAACATAATGTCCTCTAAGTTTTTTCACATTGTCACAAATGAGAGGACTTCCTTCTTTGTTGTAAAGGTTGTATAGTACTTCATTACGTTCCTATCGTATACCACGTTTTCTTTGTCCATGCACCCATAGATGGGCAGTAAGGGTGATTCCACATCTTGGCTGTTATGAATAATGCGGCTGTAAACATGGGAATGCAGATATCTCTTCAACATACTGATTCCACTTCCTTTGGATACATGCGCAGTAGTTGGATTGCAGACACATATGGGAATTCTATGTTTAATTTTTTCAGGAACTTCCAGACTGTTTTCCATAATGGTTGTGCTAATTTACATTCCCATCAACTGCATACAAATGTTCCCTTTTCTCCACATCCTCGTTAACCCTTGTTATTTTTTATGTTTTTGATAATGGTCTTTTTTTTTTTTTTTTTGAGACTCAGTCTTGCTCTGTCACCCAGGCTGGAGTGCAGTGGCACAATCTCGGTGTACTGCAACCTCTGCCTCCTGGGTTCAAGCGATTCCCCTGCCTCAGTCTCCAGAGTAGCTGGGACTACAAGTGTGCGCCACCAAACTCTGCTAATTTTTGTATTTTTAGTAGGGATGGGATTTCACCATATTGGCCAGGCTGGTTTCGAACTGCTGACCTCAGGTAATCTCCCTGCCTCGGCCTCCCAAAGTGCCTGAATTACAGGCATGAGCCACCATGCCCAGACTGTTAATGGTCATTCTAAGAGGTGTGAGGTGATATCTCATTCTAGTTTTAATTTTTATTTAGCTGATGTTTAGTAATGCTAATCATTTTTTCATATACCTTTTGGTGATTTGTCTTATTCTTAGAAATGTTTATTCAGATACTTTGCCCATTTTTTTAAGTTGGGTTATTTGATTTCTTACCATTGAGTTGTTTGAGTTTCTTATATATTTTGGATATTAATTCCTTATTAGATGTATGGGTGCAAATATATTCTCCCATTCCATAGGTTGTCTTTCCACTTGTTGAGTTTTTTTTTTTCTTTGCAGAAACTTTCAATTTGATATAATGTTATTTGTCTACTTTTGCTTTTGTTGCCTGGGCCTTTGGGTTAATATCCAAAATGGTTTTGCCCAAGCCAGTGGAGTTTTCCCTTGATTTCTTTTAGTAGTTTTTTTTTTTTTTTAAGATGGAGTCTCACTCTGTTGCCCCGGCTGGAGTGCAGTGGTGCGATCTCGGCTCACTGCAACCTCTACCTCCTGGGTTCAAGTGATTCTCCTGTCTCAACCTCCCGAGTAGCTGAGATTACAGGCACCCACAACCACACCCAGCTGTTTTTGTATTTTTAGTAGAGGCGGGATTTCACCATGTTGGCCATGCTGGTCTTGGAATCCTGACCTTAGGTGATCTGCCCGCCTTGGCCTCCCAAATTGCTGGGATGATAGTCTTTCATCTTACATTTAAGTCATTAATCTATCTTGAGTTGACTTTGTATGTTTTGTGAGGCAAATGTCCACTTCCATTCTTCTGCATGTCTCCCAATCCCATTTATTAAAGAGACTGTTCCTTCTCCATTGTGTGTTCTTGATACATCCCAAAAATTGTTTGACCCTAAATGCGTGCATTTTTTTTCCTGGGCTATGAATCACTTCCATTGGTCTATGTGTCTGTTTTTATGCAAGTACTGTGTTGTTTTAATTACTGTAACTTTGTAATGTAGTTTGTGTTTAGGTAATGTGATTCTTCCAACTTTGTTCCTTTCCCTCTAGATGGCTTTGGTTATTTGAGATCTTTTGTGGTTCCACATGAATTTTAGGACTGTTTTTTCTATTTCTGTAAAAAAAATGTCATTGGATTTTTGATAATGGTTGCATTGAATCACTTTGGATAGAATGGACATTTTAACAACATTAATCCTTCTGATCCGTGAACATGGAATATCTTTCGATTTATTTGTTTATTTCTTGAGTTTTTTCATCAATGTTTTATAGCTTTTGCATACAGATCTTTCTACTCCTTGGGTGAATTTATTCCTGCATGTTTTGTTTTCTGTAGTTATTGCAAATGGGCTTATTTTCTTGTAAACTTTTTTGGATAGTTTGTTGTTAATGTATAGAAACTTTGTTGTTGTTGTTGTTGTTGTTTTGATGATACCCATCCTAAGGGGTATGAAATGGCATCTGGTGTAGTTTTAGTTAGTATTTCCCTAATGATTCGTGATGCTGAATATCTTTTCATGCGTATGTTCTTTGGAGAAATGTCTGTTTCAGTACTTTGCCCATTTTTGAATTGAGTTTATTGTGATTGAGTTTTAGGAGTTGTCTGTATATTCTGGATGTTAATCCCTTACAGGTGGTGTGGTTTGAAAACATTTTCTCCCATTCTGTGGGTTGTCTTTTTACTTTGATAATATCGTCTTAAAAGTTCTTTTTCCTTGCCATGTGAAGTAACTGATGTTGTCTTTTGAGTCACAATATTTCAAAATTTTCATAAAGTCTAACTTGTTTATTTTTTCTGTAGTAGCCTGTGCCGTTGTTGTCACATCTAAAGAATCACTGCCAAATCCGATGTTGTGAAGTTTTCCTTTGTGTTTTCTTCTAAGACTTTAATTAAATTTTATTTGTCAATATTTAGGACTGACAAAAGCTTTTTAACATTCCTGGCACCATCTCAGTTATTGATCTACTCCCAAGATGGATCATTTCAATTAAAACATGTAAAGCATGACCTCACCTGAATGTGTTTGAACTTGCTCTTCTCCCTTTCAAATCGACTCCCTCACTTACATAGTTTGTGTTCAAATGTCAACAAATAAAACATAAAAAGAAATCAATCTTTTCATAGACCCTTTATCTAAAATAGAATAGTAGGTGCCATGACATTTCATCCTTTCATCTTGAATTATTTACTTTTCTACATGAACCAATCCATTCTTCTGTGTGCATGTGTGTGTGTGTGTGTGTGTGTGTAGTTTATCTGTCTACATATAATGTAAACACCAAAAAATAACAGACATTTAGTAATTTTCAAATGAGACTTCAGGAATTAACAATGGCTTGCCATTTTTAGTGTGTTATTATTATTATATTTAGATGAACAGAATTGCCTCAGGAACATGGCCAGGGGCTCATAGTCCAGGAGAACTGTGGCCTGACTCAGGTACATTTTACCTGCAATAACAGCAATTGCAGGTCACTGGAGTCCATCACAATTGGCTGGAGACAAATGTAAGACAAGAATATTTGCAGTTTCCCCAGACTGACACAGTTGCAGGTTCCCCGAAGTAATGAGTCCTGAGACACCTCCAACAAGAGCTAGAAAAGGTATCACTTCAAGAGGAGTTGCAGCCTACTCATTTTAGACAAATGGAGCAAAATTACAGTATCACATCTTTTCCTTTCTCCTTCATAGAATCTGGATGAACAGAACAGAAAGAGTTAATGGAATATAAGATTCCAATTCTCTGGCATGAGAAAATAGACAAGGAAAGGAAGATTCATCTTCATCACATCTCAGACATGCTTGGACACAGGGTCCAAGCACAAAAGAGAAACACATACTTCTTCCCATCCACACTGGGATCCAGGGTCTTCTCCCTCCTGTCAGGCCAGAACTGAGTCTCCACTCCCCAATTTAGTTCCCAGAGATGAAGCCCAATTTTCCTCTGTCTCAAGCTTTGAAGGCCAGCTTTAGCGTGTTCACCATGGATGAATGAAGGTGAGGTCAGAGGTTTGGGAAATGGTCAAGAATGAGGTGAGAAGAGAGCTGTGGAGGCATGGCCCCGGGGAGCTTGGTACCCCCCCATATCCAGAGCCTGTCTGGTCCAGGAGAGTTCCCAACCCTGTGAGCACCAACTCCGGATATTCTGGGCAGTGACCCGAGGGACAGCCTCTTATGAATACAGGCTGTTTTCCTCCAGTGTCTGCTGTGAAACCAGGATGTACAACATGGCCGTGTTCAACCCAACAATGGACTTAGGATTTTGCTGTACGCCAAAACTCAGTGTCCAACTTCCACTCTGTTTAGCTGGAAAAAGAAGGGGTTTGTTCCCATACATCTCACTCCTGTGTTCCTCTTTCAGTCTCAAAGCTCAGATGAAAACAATGAGTGTCACTTATTGTCAATCCTCTTCCCTGCCTTTTCCACACTCATCAGTATTACCGTTTACATTGAGACTAAAGATGGCCAATCACCACTTTTCTTCGGAAAAATCAACCTGATGTTGTACCTACTTTTTTAGAGGTGGAATCAACCTACCCTAAGATGCCAACTACATTTTACTGAATGGACTTTTGTGGATCCCCTCGATGTATATTGTGGCACCTTGAGGTATCATCCCTGTCTTTAGCAAATGAATATTATCCCAAGGACAATATTTCATCACAATTATTCGGGATGGACGAGTGGATATTGTGGTAGCAAGAACATTACTAAAAGTCACAGCTGATACAACACACTTGAAACCCATCTGGCCAATCTCCCACAGACAGAATGTCGCGCCATTCACTCCAGCCAGCTTCAGTCATGTTTCTTCCATTTCCACCTGTGGCCCCTCATGTCTCCACCAGGTCTTAGCCAGCATTGCCAAAAGAGCCAGGAAGACCAGACCAGCCACAACAATCCTGATGGAACTCTCCACAGTATAGTTCTGGAGAACAGGGGCTGGAGGGTGGGGGTAAGATCAGAGACCTTTCCATGTGGGCCAGGCCCCTCTCTCCCCAGAAGCTCTGAAATGGAGCTATTTCCCCATCTCACCTTCATAAAATTCTTCCTGTCCAGAACCCCTCTTCTCCCTATATCATCATGAGCACCTTCAGAAGTCTTTTGCCACAAAAAGAAATTTCTTTTGAAGATATACATTTTTTTGTACATTTCAAAAATGTTCCCAAACTAATTCTCCAAAGCAATAAATGTTTGTGTGTATTGCTGGGTAGGTTATGCATACAAGGAAAGGAAGCATAGTGAGTCTGATTTGGCAGAGGAAACATATGTGGAAATTATATCATTTACTCTCTTTACAAAATTAAGTACAAAATTGAAAACACTGGTAAGAAAGAATGAGCTATAGAGAAAGAAAACATCTGAGATGCTTGTTTCCAAGATGGCTGACTAAATGCTTTTCTGGCATGTCTCATCCACTTAGAAGAACGAGCAGAATCCAGAACAAAAACCATATGATCATCTCAATAGACATAAAGAAAAGCATCTGAAAAGAAATTCAACATCCTTACCTGATGAAAACCCTCAAAAACTTAGGCATAGAAAGAACATACCTCAAAATAATAAAAGCCATAGATGACATATCTAGAGTCAACATCATACTGAACAGGAAAAGTTAAAAGCACTCCTCTGAGAACTGGCACAAGACAAGGACACGGACATCCACCACTTCCTATCAACATAGTACTGGAAGCCTTGTCAGAGCTATTGGGCAACAGGAAGAAGTAAAAATCCAAATTAGAAAAGAGGAAGTAAAATTATTTTTATTTCTGATGCTATGATCTTAAATCTAGAAAATCCTAAAGACCCTGCCAAAAATTCTTATGATTGATAAATGAACTAAGTAAAGTTTCAGAATACAAAATCAATATGTAAAAGCCGGTAGCATTTCTCTACACCTATAATGATCTAGCTGAGAACCAAATCAAGAAGGCAATGCCGTTTACAATAGATACGCAAAATTAAAACACTCAGGAATACATTTAACCAAGGTGGTGAAAGATCTGTACCAGGAAAGGTGTAAGACACCAATGAAAGCAATTATAGATAATACAAAAAAAAAAAAAGAAAAAAAATCCCACGCTCATGGATCATAAGAATTAATATTGTTAAAATGACCATACTGCCTAAAGCAATCTACAGATTCAGTGCAATTCTTATATGAAAATAGTAACACCAGTTTTCACAGAATTAGAAAAAGCAATCCTAAAATTCATACAGAACCAAAAAAGATCCTAATAGAGAAAGCAATTCTAGGTGAATGTAGAAACCTGGAGGCATCACGCTATCTGACTTCAAACTATGCTCTAAGGCTATAGTAACTTAAATAGCACAGTGCTGGTATAGACACAGAAACAGAGATCAATAGACCAGAATAGAGAGCCCAGAAATACAGCCTCATATCTACAGTGAATAATCATTGACGACGTTAACAAAACATACACTGGAGAAAGATTTCCTTTTCAATAAAAGGTGCTGGGAAAACTAAATAGCCATATGCAGAAGAATAAAACTGGACCTGTATCTGTAATCATACACATAAATTAACTTAAGGTAATTAGCAGCTTAAATGTAAATCCAGAACTATAAAATCACCGGTGGAAACCCAAAGAGAAACTCTTCTGGGCATTGGTCTGGGCAAAGAATTCATCACTAAGACCTCAAAAGCACAGGCAATAAAAATAAAACTAGACCAATGGGACTTAATAAACGAAAGAGCTTCTGCCAAGCAAAGGAAATAGTAGCAGGGTGAACAGACAACCCACAGAATGAATGGAAATGTTTGCAAACTATGCACCCAACAGAGGACTAACATCCAGAATTTCTAGGCAACTCAAACAACTAAACATAACCCCTCAAATAATAGCATTAAAAAGTGGGCAAAGGGATATACATAGACATTTTTCAAAAGAAGACATACGAATGGCCAAACAGCGTATGAACATCACTAATCATCAGAGAAATGCAAATTGAAACCACAATGAGATATCATCTTACAGTAGTCAGAATGGCTATTACTAAAAATGCTGGTGGGGAGTGGTGGCTCACGCTTGTAATCCCAGCACTTTGGGAAGCTGAGGCGGGTGGATCATGAGGTCAGGAGTTTGAGACCAGCCTGACCAACATAGTGAAACCCCATCTCTACTAAATATACAAAAGATTAGCTGGGCATGGTGGTGTGGTTCTGTAATCCCAGCTACTCAGGAGGCTGAGGCAGGAGAATCATTTGAACCTGGTTGGTGGAGGTTGCAGCGCGTGGAGATGGCGGCACTGCACTCCAGCCTGGGTGACAGTGGAAGACTCCATCTCAAAAAGAAAAAAAGAAAAAGTGAAACATATAACAGGTGTTGGCAAGGATGCAGAGAAAAGGAAACTCTTATACACTGTTGGCCGGTATGTAAATTAGTATAGCCTCTATGGAAGACAGTATGGAAATTTGGCAGAGAACCAAAAATAGAAGCACCATTCGATCTAGGGGTCCCGCTGCTGGGTATCTACTCAAAAAATACCTGCACCTGTATGTTTATTGCAGCACTGTTTGCAATAGCAAAGATATGAAATCAATCTAAGTGTCTGTGAATGAATGATTGGATTAAAAAAAGGATGCGTGTATACACAACGAAATACTATTTGGTCATAAAAATAAAACCATGTCTTTTGCAGCAACATAGATGGAGCTGGACGCCATTATTTTACATAAAACCACTCAGAAAGACAAATACCACATCTTCTCACTCTACATGGGAGGGGAGTAATGTGTACATATGGACGTAGAGTGTGGAATGACGGACAGCGGAGGCTAGAAGGCTGGAGGGTGGCGGGACGTGGGTGAGTGATGAGAATTTGCTTAATGAGTACAATGTACGGTATTTGGGTGATGGATATAGTAAAAGTCCTGACTTCACTACTCTGCAACATACTCATGTCACAAAATTACAAGTGTACCTCATAAATTTATACTAATAGAAAAGAAAGTCTGTACACAGTAATCAATTGTGATATGTAGATAAAGTCAATATTAAATTTAAACCAGAATAACTAGTTAAAATGTTGTGTACACAACAGTGAAGAGAGTATTTATCCTCTATGACAGAGGAAACCATCAATATTAATGCACAGAAAAAGCAAATAACTGAAACAAGAAAGAGCAGTTTTGTGACAGGGTAAAAATTGACAACAGTTTTAGAATGCTCCTAACTTGAGTTCCAAAAAGAAAGAACGAGAAAACAGGTCAGAAGCAATCTTTAAAGAGGCAATTGTTGATTATTTGGAGGAAGTAGACACATCCATCAATCCACAGGTTCAAGAAATCCAGTGAATGCCAGGCAGAATGAAGTAAACACACCTCACGTTCAACATTACAGAAAAGCAGCATAAAAGCACAACCAACCCTTAAAATTAGCCAGAGGAAAAGGATCAGCTGGTAAGGATTTATAGGGAGCCAAGCATTGTCTTCCCCACAGAAAAAAGGAAAACATAAGCCAGTAGAATAGCATCTTTACCCAGCTAAGATACCGTCGCCAGCCACCGACAATTCCTTACATAGTACAGTTACTGTCCAAGATCAACGCAGGAAAGAAACAGAACTGAAAGACAAAAGGGCAAAGAAAGCTTTTCTCACTGACCCTAAAGGAAATTCTGATGACCGTGCCTCAAAGATAAAGAAAGTGAAACCAGATGGGGTGTCGAAGATTCTGACAATAACTAAGAGCAGAGGAAGAACTAAAAATATGGCTATGCCAAAAATGAATATGGACCATACGATAGTGTATGAAAACACGCCCCTGTGTAATTTCTGAAAAAGATAGAATTATGTATACCACAAAACAAAACATCATATAAGTAAATACAAACATATGTACTAAATATGCTCTAAAATCCTGTTCTTACACAGGAAGAGTGGAAATATGTTTTTATATTTGCAGTTTAATCTCTGAAATGATTAATTTCAATTTTAAAAATATGTAACAACTTCAGGATGAGTACACCATATATGTATTCCTAAACGACATAGATCAAAAATAGAATGTTTGAAATAGAAAACCACAGAAGTCAGTGGGAAAAAAAGGGAATCAGGAAAACACAACGTAATAATAACAAAAATATGATTGGAAGAACTGCTCAAACATGAACAAAAGATTGTCAGAAAGTCTTACTTTCTAAGGCGAATTGTTTGAAATTTACAAAGGACACATCTCAATGTTAACAATTCATGGAGTTTGAAATTAAACAATGTAGAAATATACCAAGCAATCACTGTTAGAAATGTGGTATAACTATATTAAAATTAGACAAAATTAGTCTTTGGGAAAAATCAGCGGAAAACATTAAGCATAAAATGTAGGAAAAAAGCAGGTAAATTTATAGCATTTTAAATTTACCAGGAATATATAATCAGTTTACACTTAACCACTCCCAGTAATATTCCTGCAAATATACATGGAGGAAGAGTCGCGGAAATAAATGGACAGGTAGGCAAATCCACGGCCACAGTGGGGTGTTTAACACTCCTCTTTTCTCAGTTGTTGATAGAAGTGGTTCAGGCAATTAGAGAGGATTTAGAAAGATAATTGCTGGACCTGACCCAAGGTATAAGTCCACTCCCAACCACAGGACTCACTTTCCTTACAAGCACAAGGGCATTTAGAAATCTCTCTGGATTCTGACCAGCCCTCACCATATGGCAGGTCCATGGACTTCTTGGAACACACCAAGCTCATTCTCACATTAGGGTCATCCCCAATGTCCTAAGTCCATGAAAGTTCCTTTCAACACACTCCCCAGGGCTCACTCCCTCTTGTCTCTAAGATCGGAGTTTAAATGTGATCTCTCTGATGAGGTCTCAGTGAGACGTTCCCTCCTGTACACTCCAAATGACAACGTTCCACGTTCATTCATTTCATTCTGTGCATGGCACTTTCACCAAGTGCTAAGGATTCACTCACTAATTCATACATTCATTCATTCATTCATTCACTCATTCCATCATTCACTCATTCATTCATTCTCTCATTCATTCATTCATGTTCTGCCTCTCTCTCCCACCCCACAGCAATGTGAGCATCATGAACCCAGGAGCTTGGCCGTGCTGTCTACTCCTGGCCGTGAAACAGAGAGAACTGATGGTAGGTGTGAAATAAATATTAGATGAATGAGTTAGTGAAGGGGTCATTTACTGGGTGAGCTCAGTTCTCTCTACTCTAATGCCCTCCCTCGGCTGACTTCCCTGAGTTGCCCCCTCGGCTGAGTGAAGTCCCTTCACTGGCAAATGGAACCTCAACCAGTAGCACCTAGGTGGTCTCATACTTTGTTCTTTCCCTCTCCTCTTGCTCCCTAAGGATTATCAATCTCCATGACAGGGCTGGAGAGCAGACAAGCCACACATTCTTTCTGGGGAGAGAGTAACATGGAGTACAAGGCATTCCACATTTAGGAAGAGAACTCAGTTATGGAAGGTCAGAAATGAAAAGTTCCTACAGACCAACACCCAGGTTGGTGGCCACAGCCCTAAATGCTGATGGAGAATCACTGCAAGTCTGTAGGGAAGATGTCTGGCTTGAGGCCACTGAGCGAAGTGGCAGATCCTTCTCAGCCTTCAGTGCTGAGCCTCTGTCCCCTCAGGGATCCACTGACCAATGAGAAGAGCCTCTTCTCATCTCCTGGGATGGAGCTTGGGGCCCCTGGCGAAGGAATGGGCCTGTTTCCACCTGTCATGTTGTCATCTAGCTTGGAAATCCTGCGAGTCCCAGGGAGGCCCTCCCCGAGTCCCCAGAGAAGACTCCCCCACTGAGTCTCCAAGGTGTGGAGAGAGCAAAAAACATCTAGGGTGGAAAATGCCTCCCATCAAGAGACATTGGGGCTCCCCCAACGATGGTTGCATCTGTGCCCCCCATGTGGAAATCACTCTTTGGTGAGAGGTGGGGGCTTCTGGAAATGGGCAATGGCGGGCGGCCAATGCTACCTCTAGTCTTTCCAATCTGAGCCCGGCCTTTCATGCTCCTGAGTCAGCATTGATGCTGTTTACATGTGTCCCAGGTGGGCTTCTGTACAAAGACTGGGAAGTGGTTTATGTGGCCTGTGCTCTATCTGCAAGCTTCAGGTAGGGTTGCAGTTACCACCCCAAACCCTAATGTGATCTGTCTGCCTCGCTCTGTCTGTCTGTCTATGCCTCTTTCTGTATGTTTGCTTTGTGTGTCTTCTATCCAGCGTCTCTGGCTGACACCCCCATGGCCACCCCCTCCATCTGAGGCTCCCCTGAATGTGGCCATTGTAGTCCATCTGAGTCCCACTATTTGGGGAACAGACTGGTTTCCTCACCTGTGACAGACACAAGCAGTGGGTCACTAAGGTCTGACCACTCGTAGGGAGAGTCACGGAAAGAGCCGAAGCATCTGTAGGTCCCTCCGTGGGTGGCAGGGCCCAGAGGAAAGTTGGCCTGGAAGGTTCCATTGACCTTGGGCACTGCAGGGAACCTAAGTTCATGAGCCTCCCCCTCCCTTGATAGATGGTAGATGTCATAGGAGCTCCGGGAGCTGCAGGACAAGGTCACGCTCTCTCCTGCCTTAACCATGGGGCGCGGCTGGGCTGAGAGAGAAGGTTTCCCACATAGACCTGGAAGGAGAAGAGGCAGTTTCCTCAGGGAGGTTCTTCCTTGTCACAACTCCCCTCCCACCTGAGCTGAGAACTCACTCCCCTGCTCTATGGCCTAATGCTCTCTCTCTCTGTCTCACCCTCCACACCATCTCTCTTTATGTCTATTTCCTCTTTCCACCTTCTCTGTCTCTCTAGGTCTCTGACCTCACTTTCTCACCTCTAGATATGTTTTCCCTTTTTGGATTGTTTTATTCTCTCTGACTCTTCTTGGACTAGTTGACTTGATGTTACTTTTTTTAAATTCTGAGTTTCTCACTTTGTGTCCTGTTCATAACTTTCTGCATATTTCTATCTATTATCTATCGATAAATCTATTTATCTATTTGGTGCCTATCTACAAATTCTCTACCTGTCATCTATATCTATATATAATCTATTTATCTATCAATTGTCTATCCAAAAATCATCTATTATCTATATCTATGTATCGTCTCTCTCTCTCTATGATTTCTCTTTGTCTGCCTCTCTATCTCTATGTATTATCTATCTATCTTCATCTTCATCATCTCTATGTATCATCGATTAATCAATGAATGAATCAATCATCATCTATGTATCTATAACCTATTATCTATCATCTACCTATTTATCATCTATCTATATCTATCCATCTATCATCTGTCTTGCTCTGCCTCTCGGTCTCTCTAGTTCTCTTTGGAATCTCTGCAATTCATCCCCACATCTCCATCTTTCTATGTCCTTGTGTCTCTCCCTCAGGACTCTAATTTTAGTGCTTTTCTCTGTTCCCTTCCATTGTTCTCTCCACTTCTCTGCCCTCTTTTCTCCCTCTTTATGTGTCTGTGAGTCTCTCAATCTCCTTCCTCTGGCTCATTCTCTGTGTGTTTATGTCTTTGCTTTTTGGTGTCCCTGATTTCTCTCTGTGTCTCTCAGTGATCCTCTCATATGTGGGGTTATTTGGAATGTGAGCCTCAGAATCCAGTCTGGGGACCGCAAGTTCACACAGTATACAGGGGTTGATGTTCTGGGGCCATGATATCCTGGGACGATTACTCTCCATTGCATGGAAGGCAGAGGTGTCAGAATAAACACGGCATCTGTAGGTGCCAGAAGGCCTGAGGCCACAGGGCCCAACTCAGGCCAGAAATATGGGTGTCCTTGGGTTCTTCTGGTAGAGAACACTTTGTGGAAGTAAAACAGAAATGAAACTTCTAACCTGTGCCAGGTCTCTGAGCAAAGTCAGCATGGAAGGACACCTCTCTCTGGCACATGTCTGTCTGTGTCTCCTTTAACTCTTTCTGTCTTTTCTAACTCCCGGTATGGCCCCTGTGTCTGTCCTCTGTTATGACACCTGGTCTGTACTTGTGTCTCCTGTTTCTCTGTCTCTGTTGGTACAGACCTCACCAAGTTAGTCTCTCTCCATAAGAATACCAAGCTCATCTTCCTTATAACCACCTGGGCCTCCAAGTCGTGGATCATTCACTCTGTGTCCCAGTGACAATGAGAATAATGTCCAGACACTCTCACCTGTAATCACGATGTCCAGAGGGTCACTGGGAGCTGACAACTGATAGGGGGAATGAGGAACAGAACCGTAGCATCTGTAGGTCCCTGCAAGGTCTTGCGTCATGCGACCGATGGAGAAGTTGGCCTTGGAGACCCCATCATGGAGCTCTCCAGTGAGGCGCAAAGTGTCATTAAACTTCCCCTCTCTGTGCAGAAGGAAGTGCTCAAACATGACATCTGACCAACATTGCAGGATGACTGTCTCTTCTGATTTCACCAGGGGACCTGGGTGGGCCAGGAGGGAAGGTTTTCTGTGGACTCCTAGGAAGAGAGGTTGTGACTTTAGAAGGCATCTCTCTTTATCATCCCATCCATGGCACCTAGAATGAGTGAGGCTTCCCCTCGCTGGTGTCTTATCTCTCTCCTTCCTCTCTGTGTCTTCATGTTCTTTTCTGTGCCCATAACTCCTGGTACAGGTCCTTCCATCTGTCTCCCTCCCTCTTCTCTGTCCCTCTGTCTCTAGTAGCTCCTGATTCCCTTGCCGCTGGGCTCAGCCTCATCTCTTGGGCTGTTGTATCTATTTCGAACTAATGTCTTTCCTGCTTCTATGTGGGGGTGGAAGAGGAACCAGGATAGGCTGCACGTCCAGGCTCTTAGCAGACTGGTTCAATCTCTTTTGGACGAATTGGAATCCTTGGCAGAAGGTATGAACTGATCAGTAAGGCAGGCACCAGTGTCCACACACCCTGTTCCTGGTGGGGACTGGGAGCCACTCTTGCCATGCCTGTGCCTTCTCCATGGTGCCAGCTTCCATAGGCTGGCTTCTGGTGCTGGTTTGAGGAGTATCAACCCCTCCCTATGTGGATGGAGCCTGGTGGTGGCATCATCATCCCACCCTTGCTGATCTCGGTGTAGCCAACCTTCTCTTTGTTTGGTTTCTTTAATTAATTAATTAATTTTGGAGTCAGAGTCTCACTCCTTCACCCAGGCTGGAGTGAAGTGGTGTGGTCTAGGCTCACTGCAACCTCTGTCTCCTGGGTTCAAGTGATTCTCCTGCCCTCAACCTCCTGAGTTGCTAGGATTACATGCACCTGCCACCACGCCCGGCTATCCTTGTGTCCTTTCTTATCTTGTCCTTGACCTGGGTTCCAGTGTTGGTTTCCTGTTGGTGCTGTAGAAAATTATCAGAAGCATGGCAGCAGGAGAGAGCACACTGACCCCTTCCGTTTCTGGAGACAGAAATCGGACCCTGTTTTTTGAGGGCTAAAATCAAGGCATCTGCAGGGCTGCGTTCCCTCTGGAGACCCAGGAGAATCAGTTCCTTGACTTTTCCAGCCTCTATAGGCCACCTGCATTCATGGCTCATGGCCTTCCTCCACCTTCAAAGCTGATGGAGACTTCCATTGCACTGCTCTAATCGCCACTCCCCTCTTCCTTCTCCTCTCATGTGCACCCTTGTGATTACACTGAGCCCAGCAGGACAGTCCAGGCTGTCTCCCCATCTCAAGGTCAACTCAACAACCTGAGCTCCATCTTCCCCTTCAGTGCCTTCCCCTATAACATAAATAGTCACAGACTGCAGGGATTAGAATGCAGTCATCATTGGGGACAATTATTCTTTCCACCACAGCACCCATTTCCCTGTATTCAATCCCCTTTTATCCCAAATACAGTTAGGGTCTGGATGATGGGACGCTGGTGGACACTCCCACCAGAAGCTCTGGGACTCAGGAGGTGGGACAAGGAGAATCCCAGACAGGAGCCCTCTGACCTGTGACCATGATCACCAGGGGGTTGCTGGGTGCTGACCACCCAGTGAGGAAGTGTGGGTGTGAACCCCGACATCTGTAGGTCCCTGCATGTGCTGGGGTCACAGGGCCTATGAAAACGGTGTTTCGGAATACTCTGTTGTAGAGCTCAGGGACAGGCATCCCGTCTTCTTTGGACAGACTGAATTCGTTAAACCCAAGACGAGAGCGACACTGAAGAGCCACATGTTCTCCTTCAGACACCACAGGGCTGGGCCAGGCAGAGAGGAAGGGCTTGTCCTGACCACCTGGGGGAGAAGGAGGCGCCACCTTAGAGAGGAGGATGTGGCACTCCCTCCCTCTATTCCTTTCCAGGACTCACCAACACACGCCATGCTGACGACCATGAGCGACATGGTGCTGCCGGTGCAGACAGGCGGCCGCGCCCCAGCTCAGCTCAGCAGCGCACAGGATGTTATTTGGCGCCCTGCCCATGCAGCTTACATGTTGACTACATCATGGGAGGGTGACGTACGCAGGCTCTTTCTACCTTGCATGAGGCCCAGTGGATGCTTGCTCAAGAGCGGAACACGGCTTCCTGGAAATTGTTCTCACTAGAATTGGCACCTCACGTCCTTCACTATGACCAACTCACAACACGTCTCAGATCCAACCTCCCGAACACAAGATGCCTAAAATCTGTGCTAACGTGAAAGACTTTTCATGTATTTTTATCCGAACACGAGATGCCTAAAATCTGTGCTAACATGAAAGACTTTTCATGTATTTTTTTTGTTTTTATCTGAGATTCAAACTCTTCTTCCTGTGTAATATGCAAAGTATCTAATAGGTATTATTAATGTTTTCGGAGTCATTGTGACTAATAAACCATTAGAATTTTTCATGCTTGTATTTCTAGTATTACAGCAGAACCAGCTAAAATGATTTAAATTCCCAGGGAAGGATTATGCAATTATTTACAATCTTAGAATTGTACTTTATCAGCAAAAACCACACCTGTAAATTCTGGAGTTTTGTAGTTTAATCTAAAATTTGTCTCATGACCCAAGATTCCAGAGTCCCAACTCTGGAGTTTGCTCTCTGTCTGTCTCTCTCCCTCCCTCGTTTTAAATTTTACAGAAATATCCAGTAACATAATGCTATAGAAAATCAAGTTTTCCCCAGCACGTTGGGAAGCCGAGGTGGGCAGATCAACTGAGATAAGGAGTTTGAGAGCAGCCTGGCCAATATAGTGAAACCGTGTCTCTGTTAAAAATCCAAAAATTAGCCGTGCCTGGTGGCAGGCACCTGTAACGCCAGCTACTCAAGAGGCTGAGGCACGAGAATCGCTTGAACCTGGGAGGCGGAGGTTGCAGTGAGCTGAGATTGTGTCACTGCAGTCCAGCCTGGGCGACAGAGCAAGACTCCGCCTCAAGAAAAAAAAAGCAAACAGCCTATAATAACAAATTAGAGGGCTCTGGCTACTAAATTTAAAGGGTTCTATAAGGCTACATAAAGTGCAGCATCATCAAGAGTGTGGACACAGAGAGCCCCTTAGCAGAAACAGTGTCTAAAATACATCCATGTACACACAGTCCCTTTAGAGTTGACAAAGGCTGCCGTGTGGTTTAAGGTGGCATAGAATGTCTTCTCAATAAATAATATTAAACCAATTGGTTACACCTAGGAAAAAATAAATCTAACTCACACTATAAAAACACTTCTTAGTTTTTATCTAGTTGTACATTTTTTATGATTTATATTTAAATTTGAGAAATAAAAGTCATATACGGTCATCCTTCACTATTCGTGGGTGATTGGTTTTGAGATCTCCACTCAGATACCAAAATCTGTAGATGCTCAAGCCTCTTATATGAAATGGCACAGCGTTTGCAAATAACCTATGCACATCCTCCTGTATACATGAAATCATCTCTAGATTACTTATAATTCCTGATACAGCCTACACACAGCTTCATTTGTGTCCATTCAACATAGTTATGCTTTTTGAAACTCTGTGGATACTTTCTCTCAATATTTTTGATTTATACTTGGTTCAATAAACACCTGTAAACCCCGCAGATATGGAGGAGTGACCGTATATTTATATTATGAAAGATGATGTGTTGATATGTGTCCCCATGGAGATGAGACTAACAAGGCCTATGATTCTACAAATGTTTCATTGTGGAATGACTCTGCCAGCTTTCCAGGTCTGCAGAGAGTAAGAGTATCACTTGTTCATATGATTCGTGATCCTTGGAACCTCCTATGTGCTACATCTTTGGATGGAAATTGGAGTCCCAGAGACAAATGAGGCTCCACCCTGCTTCCAGAAACTCAGAGTCCGGGGATGAGAACTCAGTGGGGAACAGATGGGATTATATGGACATGGTACTGATAACACCGGAAGCCTTAGGCAAGAAAAGAGTCCCATTACCGAAACCATGGGGGCAGACATGTTTATTTGAAGGATGGAAAACTACATTGAAGTTATTTTAAAAAATATATAAGTTTTACTGCTGACAGAAGACTGAAAGCTAGTCTGAGGGGAGGTGGAACAGCATGAGGGAAGGTGGAACAACACGTGTCTAAGTGCTGCGTTAAGAGGGAGCCTCTTGTATGTTTGGAATTGTGAGTTCCTCAGTGTGATTGCAGCCTCAAGTAGACTAGGAAGTAAGCCAGTAAGGTTGGAGAGGTGGGCAGGGGTCAAGTGAAATGGAGAACTGTGGGCTAAGCAAAGGAGTGTGTTTTTTCTCCAGCAGGCAGTGGGGACCTTAGACATTTGTAAGCAAGTGAGAGGCACATTCAGATTTGTGGTGTGAGGAAGAGCGATGCCCTAAGATGCAGACTCATGCCTTCAGATTCCAGCTGCTGGTACATGGGAGCTGGCAACCCGGTTTTGAGACAGGGCTGTTGTCTCTCTAGAAGACGCCCTCAAGGCCTGACTGTGGTGCTCATGGGCAGGAGACAACTTTGGATCTGGACTCAGCATTTGGAAGTTCCGTGTACACGATGATATCTGTTGGGGGTGTCTTGGGCCTCTGAGAAGGGCGAGTGATTTTTCTCTGTGTGAAAACGCAGTGATTCAACTGTGTGTATGTCACCTCCTGAGGGTCTTGTTCATCAGAGTCCTGGAGAGAGGGAAATGCTGAGTGAGGGAGGTTGCTCACATTTTCCAGGACTCTTTGGGAATAACAGTAGCCACGAGCCCGGGCCGAGGAGTACCTACCTCGCTATTCGCTGTTCTGTTTCCTGCAGACTCTTGGTCCATTACCGCAGCATCTGTAGAAGACGGAAGTCAACAAAACAGCTCGGAGGGCACTTCTGGGTCCTCATTTCATAAGCAGATACCAACATACAGGGGGAGACCATAGGTGGCTGAGGTCCCTCAGTTGCCAACAGCAGACTCAGACATTCTATCTCTCTGAGCTCAAGGACCCATCCCATGAATAGCTCTGAGTTCCCATCCCATTGATTCTGTCTCCCACTTTCTGCCTGTCATGGAACCTTCTCCTGGATGTGAGTGGCTGCAGGGGACATGAGGATACAGTTCAGAATCAGGCAACGGTCTGTGAGTTGAAGGCAGGGACAGGGAGTCTGGTGCCCTCTCTAGAAAGTCCTGCCTCTGTGGCTGCTGCCTTGGGCCAGGGACCATCCTGTTTGTGAGGAACACACACCTGAGTGCTCCCATCCTGCTTCCCCACATGGCCCTGAGCTCTCTGGCCTCTGCTTCGTGAGACTTACTTTTTTTGTTGGAGCACCAGCAATGAAGGAGAAAGAAGAGGAGGATGAAGAGGATGATGACCACTGAGGTCCCAATCAGAATGTGCAGGTGTCGGGGGTTACCTGGAAGAAGATGAGACACCAATAAGAAGCTAATCTTAGCAGTTCCTCTTTATGAATTGTCTCGCATTTCTTGATTGACAGGTAACCACATAAAACACCTCTTTAGGACAAGCACCCAGATAGCAGGAGACCCAGCTTTCTCCTGCTTTTTCCGTTATAGCTCTCATAGTAACCATAGAACGTGCTGAGGATACGACTACTTTAGTTGAGATGTTTGACCCCTTCAAACCTCACATTGAAATTTCACCCCCACTGTGGGAGGTTGGGCCTCTTGAGAGGTGTTTGGGTCATGGAGGTGGATCCATCATGAACACATCAATGCTGTCCCAAGGAGACGGGGTTAGCAAGTTCCCCCTCTATTAGTTCCCGGAGAGCTGGTTGTTAAAAAGAGCTTGGAAGCTCCATCACTCCCCCTCCCCCTTGCTCCCTCTCTTGCCGTGTGATCTCTGTGGTCTCTGCACAGACAGACCCTCCTTCCCTTCTGCCAGAGTGGGAGCAGCCTGAGGCCGTCACGAGAAATAGATGCTGGTGCCATGCTTCCAGTACAGCCTGCAGAACGGTGAGGCAAACCAATCTCTTTTCTTTAGAAGTTACCGAGGCTCAAGTGTTCCTTTAGAGCAACAAAAATGGCCTAAGACAGCAACTTCCTGAGATCAGGAGGAACGTCTCAGAACACCCTGGGCTGTCTTCCTGTTCTTTCTGGAGGAGGACGTCATGCAGTGCTTTAGCTGAGTGCTTCCTGTGGCTCCAGGGTACAAAACCCAGGCTGGGCTGCTTTCTGGCTTCCCGCAGCTACACTGCAAATGGGGTGACTCCATATGTCCCGAGGAGCTTTTCTGAGCCTTGAGGGACTGGGTCACATTGAAATATAGGTTTCTGTTGTCACTCGCTGCTTATCTGTTAGTAATGAACCTGCCTATGTAACGTATTCTCTGTGTGTTCTGTCTCCCTGGAGTGACGGTGAGTGATAGGAATTGGCATAGGCCCAGGTGCAGTCCAGGAGGTGTTTAGAGTCTTCTCTGGGAAGACTGGACTGGGATTGATTCACAGCGAATGTGCTTTAGGGTTTCTACATCCACAGCATTCTTGAATCAAACAACTTGCATTCTCCAAGGAAAGAAAACAAAAGTGAAATCAAGATAAAAAAAGCGAAATAGAATTCTCTTATGTCAAACGGCCAGGAAATAGTGTTGAAGCCCGTGTGAAACCTGCTGCTCTTTGTGATCTCGGGAGACACATATTAGGCTGCTGTTCTACCCGAGAGGCTGGGGGAAGGACCACACCCTCGGCCATCTATTGCTTCAAAACCACCTGTCCTCCTGTGAATTAGTAGGAAAGGGGAGCAGGAGCTAGTGCTGACGCTGATCTCTGATTCCAAGATCTGGACTCACTCCAAGGAGTGTTAATGTTTACCTCCCCATGGTCTATCTGAATCTCCACAGGTGATTGGAAGTAGGGGTGAGGTGGGGGATTTGGGTGAGTGGGCAAGTTTTTTTTGTGATGACCAGAGCACTTTCTCTATTCCAGGATCTGTGCTGGAGGATTCAGCGGGCTTTCACATTTTCTATATGATCTCATGCTCACAGAAAGCCAAATAGGGAAGAGGTTTTAGGCTCATTGCCTAATGGATAAGATAAAGGATCAAAGAAGTAATTATAGAGAAATAGAAAAATCATGATTGGAATTCAGGTCCCTTTGTGATTTGCGTGTGTTATATTATATTTATATTTATGCATTTCTTATTTTTATTTTTTGAGACGGAGTCTCCTTGTGCCACCCAGGCTGGAGTGCAGTGATGCAACCTCCACTCACTGCAACCTCCACCTCCTGGGTTGAAGTCATTCTCCTGCTTCATCCTCCAGAGTAGGAGCTGGGATTACAGGGATGCACCACCATGCTCGGCTAATTTTTGTGTTTTTCCTAGAGACAGGGTTTCACCATGTTGGCCAGGCTGGTCTCGAACTGCTGACTTCATGTGATCCACCTGCCTTGGCCTCCTGCAGTGCTGGGTTACAGGCGTGAGCCACCGTTCACAGACTTGTATATTATGCTATAATAGGTCCCTTCATTTCCACCACCCCTCATATATCTGTCACTCCTTTGCCAGGTATTGATTTATGTGTAGGATGAATAAATCTCAGAAAGAAATTAATTAAGCGAGGATTAAACAAGTAGGAAAATCAAACCCAGTAAGCGTTTCCAGTCAATGATTCTACCTCACAAACATATCTTATATCCATCTACTTCATTCATTTAGTGTCTAAATCAGCACCACATTTCACCAGTGGGGCGGCAATTGCCTTTTCCACGGTCTCCTAGATTCCAGTTATGCAACTGAGCCTCCCTTATTTTCATGTCAGTCATATTAATCATGTAGGGATTCCTAGTTACCCCGAGGTGAATTCAATGGCTGTGAGTGTCAAACACACACTCCTTGTTGCTCCTTAGTTTCCTGTGTACCCAGTGTGCTCTCCGTCTCTCTACAGTCATCTTGTCATTCTCCCCACATCATTCCCAGCATTTGAGGCAGAGCCTCTTCCTTCCATATCAGATTGTTTTCACCTTTGTGCCTTCACGGCTGACAGCTGTGTGTGCAAAATCCTTCCGCCAATCTTTCAGGGGTTCAATCCGTGTTTTTCATTAATGTCACAAATATCTGAATAGTGAGACCTTCTTTGTCACCTGAAATCATACACTCAGCATTATCTATTATTGATTTTGAATTCTGGCTGGGCACAGTGGCTCACGCCTGTAGTCCCATTACTTTGGCATGCTGAGACGGTCGGATCACTTGAGGTTGGGAGTTTCAGACAAGCTTGGCCAACGTGGTGAAACATCCTCTCTACAAAAAATATACAAAAAGAATTAGCCGGGCACGGTGGCAGTTGCCTGTAATCCCAGCTACTCGAGAGGCGGAGGCAGGAGAATCACTTGAATCCAGGAGACGCAGGTTGCAGTGAGCCAAGATCGTGACACTGCACTGTAGCCTGGAAGACAGAGGGCGACTCTGTCTCAATAAACAAAAGAACAAACAAAAAATAGATTTCACGCACAGATGCTTCCCAATGGATCATTCATTTATAGATCCACTTGTGCATTCATTTTCTGCCCTCCCATTTAACCATCTGCAATATCAGTGTCCCAAGGGCAGAGGCCAAATGCATCTTGTTCACTGTTTGTGGAAGGCAGGAGAATGCTGTCCCACCCCAAAATGTCCCTGTCCTAGCCTCCATAGCTTGTGAATATGTTATTTTACATGGAAAGGAGGAATGAAGATTGCAGATGGAATTATGGTTACTAATCAGCTGAACTTAAAACAAGGGTATCCTGGATGATTTCCAGGAGATTATGAGGGATTTTCATCTTGGTGAACCCAATAGAATCCCCAAGTTTTCAAAAGATGAGGAAGAAGGGAGAGCAGCATTCAGAGAAAGAAGTGTGGTAAGGAAGAAGGCACTGAGTGATGCCATGTGAGATGTGACCAGTCTTTGTGGGCTTTGAGGAAGGAGGAAGGGGACCAGGAGCCAAGGAACTGGGAGCCTTTAGAAGCTGGGACAAGTGAGAAGCAGATTCGTGCCTGGAATCCTCAGAGGGAAGGCAGCCTTGCTGTCACCTTGATTTTAGCCCAGTAAGATGCACTTCCTACTTTGAGCTACAGCACTGTAAGATAATTAAAAAACCGTTTTGTTTTCACCCACGAATCTTGTGGAAATTTGTTATGGCAACAATAGGAAAAGGTTCCGCACTGCACAGCCTGAGCATGGGGCCGTGGCTGAATGAGTCAGTGAGTCGAAGTGTGCGTGCATGAGCTCTGTTCTCTGTTACGGCAAGGCTCTTGCTCTGCTGAGTCAGCCAGGGTTGCTTCATGACCTACAGGAGCTCATTCCTTGGCAAGTGGAACTTCTCTAAAACACCTCGCCCTCATCAGATGTTCCCTTCCCTTCCCTCTCTCAAGTCTCCAGGAATTTATCCTCCAGTTAGGAATGCAGGCAGAACAAACATTGCATTTTTCCTGAGAAGGATGTCAGATTGGCAATCATTCTTCTAGCTTGTAGGAGGTCTCAGCTCCATAAAATGAGAGATGAAGAGATTTCACTGAGCCCTGTGTTGGGCCCAGATCCCTTTCGCTGTAGGAGTATCTGGAGTTCGGAGATGGTGGAAGACAGGTGTACAATGTCAGAGCTGTGAGATGCTGAGTCAACGCCTGAATCCAAGGTTTCCACCTCCCCAGGTTTCCAAAAGCGGATATAAGAGGGTTCTGTACTCACCGGTTTCGGAGCTTGGTTCAGTGGGTGAAGGCCAACTATTTGAAGGGTTTCCTAGAACATGAGACAGGAGAGAGGTGAGGAAATGAGGGTTTCTGTCCTCCACTCAGTGGAAATCTTTGAGGATGGTTCATGGCCAACACTCTGTTATCTAATATTGGGCCCTGGGAGTCCTGGGATCCTTTTTTCCATAATTTTTTTATGTGACACCCACTGTCTTGAGACTTCAAGGTATAAAGAGAAAACAGGAGCATCACACTACCTGATCTCAAAATATGTTACAGAGCTGTAGTAAGCAAAATAGCATGACATTGGCATAAAGAAAGGCACATAGAACAACGGAGCAGAATGAATAACACAGATATATTCCATGCATTTACATCCAATGGTTTTTTATTTTTTCTTTTGAGATGGAGTCTTGCTCTGTCACTCAGGCTGGAGTGCAAAGGTGCAATCTCGGTTCACTGCAACCTCAGCCTCCTGGGTTCAATCATTCTCTTGCCTCAAACTCCTGAGTAGTGGTATTACAGGTGCTGACCACCATGCTCAGCTAATTTTTATATTTTTAGTGGAGATGATGTTTCATCACGTCGGCCAGACTAATCTTGAACTCCTGGCCTCAGGTGATCCACCCACCTCGGGCTCCCAAAGTGCTGAAATTGCAGGTGTTAGCCACCAAGCCCAGCCCATCCAATGGACTTTGACAAAGATGCCAAGAACTCACAATCAGGAAAGGACAGTCTTTTCAATAAACAGTGCAGGGAAACCTGGACATCTACATGCAGAGGAATGAAACTGCACCTCTACCTGTCACCATACACAAAAATCAAATGAAAATGGATTAAAGATGTGAGTCTAAGGCCTGAACCTATGAAACACGTAGAACAAAATATTGGGGAAATGCTCCAGGACACTTGTCTGAAGAAAGACATTTTGTTTTAAACCTTGAAAACACAAGTAATCGAAGCAAAAATAGACCATTGGGATTACCTCATACTAAGCAACTTCTGCACCGCTAAAAATAAACCAACAAAGTGAAGAGACAACCCACAGATTGGGAGCAAATATGTGCAAACTATGCATCTGAGATGGGATTAATAACTAGAAATATAAGAAGCTCAAACAACTCAATAAAACAAATGATTTAATTGAAAAAGGAGCAAAAGACATGAAATTTCCCCACATACGAAAAACTGCTCAGTATCACTCATCATCAGAGAAACGCAAATTAAATTCAAAGTGAGTTTTCATCTCACCCCATTAAAATGGCTTTTAGGCCGGGTGAGGTGGCTCACGTTTGTCATCCTAGAACTTTGAGAGCCTGAGGTGGGTGAATCTCATAAGGTCGGGAGTTTGAGACCAGTATGACCCACATAGAGAAACGCTGTCTCTACTAAAAATACAAAAATTAGTCGGGCGTGGTGGCGTGTGCCTGTAATTCCAGCTACTCGGGAGGCTGAGGCAGGAGAATCGCTTGAACCTGGGAGGTGGAGGTTGTGGTGAGCCGAGATCGCGCCACTGCACTCCAGCCTGGGTGAGAAGAGCAAAACTCCATCTCAAAATAAAATGAAATAAAATAAAATGGCTTTTAGCTGCAAGACAGGCAAAAGAAATGCTGGCAAGGTGGTAGAGAAAGGAGAACCCTGGTACCCTGTTGGGAGGAGTGTAAATTAGTACAGCCATTACGGAGAAAAGTATGGAAGTCCTTTAAAGAACTAAAAAGAGGTTGGGTGCGGTGGATCATGCCTGTAATCCCGGCACTTTGGGAGACTGAGGCGGGCACCTCAGTTGAGGTCATGAGTTTGAGAGCAGCCCAGCCAACATGGGGAAACCCCATCTATACTAAAAAAACCAAAAAGTAGCCAGGGATGGTGGTGTGCACCTGTAATCCCAGCTACTAGGGAGGCTGAGGCAGGAAAATCATTTGAATCCAGGAGGCGTAGGTTGCAATGAGCCAAGGTCGCACCACTTTGACTCCAGCTTGGGCTAAGGAGGGAAACTCTTTCTCAAAAAAGAAAAAAAGAAAAAAAGAGAACTTTCATAGTATCCAGCAATTTCACTACTGGGTTTATATCCAAAGGAAAGTAAATCAATATATCGAAGTGATATCTGCACTCGTATGATTGGTGCAGCACTGTTCACAGTAGCCAAGATGAGGAGTCAACCTACCTGCCCATCAGTGGGTAAATGGATAGAGAGAATGTAGTACATACGCATAGTGGAGACTACTCATCCATAGAAAGAATAACATCCTGTCATTTGCAGCCACATGGATGGAACTGGAGGTCATTACAAAGATTCCCATTTCTCACCCATATACAGGAGCTAAAAGGTGGATCTCATGAAGGTAGAGAGTAGAATGGTGGCTACTGGAGGACAGGAAGAAAAGGGTGGAGGGTAAAAAAAATGTATATATATATATGTATATAAATGTATTTATGACCACTAGACTTTACACTTAAAAATGGTAAATGTGGCTGGGTGCGGTGGCCCATGCCTGTAATCCCAGCACTTTGGGAGGCAGATGCGGGTGGATCACTTGGTCAGGAGTTCGAGACCAGCTCGACCAACATGGTGAAACCACCTCCCTACTAAAAATACAAAAAGTAGCCTGGCGTGGTGGTGCGTGCCTGTAGCACCAGCTACTCAGGTGGCTGAGGCAGGAGAATCGCTTGAACCCAGGAGGTGGAGGTTGCAGTGAGCTGAGATTGTGCCACTGCACTCCAGCATAGGGGACACAGCTAGACTCCACCTCAAAAAAAAATGTTAAAAGTGGTAAGCTATATAGGTATATTTATCCTCAATAAATATTTCTTCAAAGAAAAGTAAAGGGTGTAGGGGTTGCTGGTGATGACATCTCTGTGTGGGTGAGAGGCCAGGATGGGCTTCTGGGAAATGGGTAAGGTTGAGGGGCTGAGGGAACCTCTGATCTCCCCAAACTGAGCCCAGTCTCCCTCCTCTGGGTCTCTCCTGACCGCTTTCTCCATCTGCCTGGGTGCCTGGAGCCCTGGCCGTGGGCCTCCATGCAGGCCATGTAGGAGGGTTTGGAGGTGCCCTGTCGGCCATCCTGTGCCCTGATCCCTCCCTCACACCGAGGCTGCGTCTTCTCTCTGCATCTGTCCATGCTTCTCTCCATCATCAGCAGGAAGCTCCTCAGCTAAGGCTCTAGGATCATAGGACATGGGACAGCCATGGGCTTTCCTCACCTGTGACAGAAACAAGCAGTGGGTCACTTGACTTTGACCACTCGTATGGAGAGTCACGGAAAGAGCCGAAGCATCTGTAGGTCCCTCCATGGGTGGCAGGGCCCAGAGGAAAGTTGGCCTGGAATGTTCCGTTGACCTTGGTCCCTGCAGGGAGCCTACGTTCATGGGCCTCCCCTTCCCTGGATAGATGGTACATGTCATAGGAGCTCCGGGAGCTGCAGGACAAGGTCACATTCTCTCCTGCCAGAACCGTGGGGCCCGGCTGGGCTGAGAGAGAAGGTTTCTCATATAGACCTGGAAGGAGAAGAGGCAGTTTCCTCAGGGAGGATCTTCCTTGTCACAGCTCCCTTCACCTGAGCTGAGAACTCACTCCCCTGTTCTATGACCTAATGCTCTCTCTCTCTCTCTCTCTCACCTTCTACCCCATCGCTCTTCATGTCTATTTCCTCCTTCCACCTTCTCTGTCTCTCTAGGTCTCTGACCTCACTTCCCCACCTCTAGATATGTTTTCTCTTTTTGGATTGTTTTATTCTCTCTGACTCTCCTTGGATTGGTTGACTTGATGTTACTTTTTTTAATTCTGAGTTTCTCACTTTGTGTCCTGTTCATAACTTTCTGCATATTTCTATCTATTATCTATCGATCTATCTATTTATCTATTCGGTGCCTATCTACAAATTCTCTACCTGTCATCTATATCTATATATCATCTATTTATCCATCAATTGTCTATCTATCCATCAATCATCTATTATCTATATCTATGTATCATCTCTCTCTCTCTATGATTTCTCTATGTCTGCCTCTGTATCTCCATGTATTATCTATCTATCTGTCTTCATCATCATCATCTCTATGTCTCATCTATTAATGAATCAATCAATCATCATCTATGTATCTATAACCTATTATCTATCATCTACCTATTTATCATCTATCTATATCTATCCATCTATCATCTGTCTTGCTCTGCCTCTCGGTCTCTCTAGTTCTCTTTGGAATCTCTGCAATTCATCCCCACATCTCCATCTTTCAATGTCCTTGTGCCTCTCCCTCAGGAGTCTAATTTTAGTGCTTTTCTCTGCTCCCTTCCATCATTCTCACTTCTCTGCCCTCTTTTCTCTCTCTTTATGTGTCTGTGAGTCTCTCAATCTCCTTCCTCTGGCTCATTCTCTGTGTGTTTATGTCTTTGCTTTTTGGTGTCCCTGATTTCTCTCTGTGCCTCTCACTGATCCTCTCATAAGTGGGCTTATTTGGAATATGAGCCTCAGAATCCAGTCTGGAGACTACAAGTTCACACAGCATACAGGGGTTGGTGTTGTGGGGCCATGATATCCTGGGACGATTACTCTCCATTACATGGAAGGCAGAGGTGTCAGAATAAACATGGCATCTGTAGGTGCCACAAGGCCTGAGGCCACAGGGCCCAACTCAGGTCAGAAATATGGGTGTCCTTGGGTTCTCCTGGTAGAGAACACTTTGTGGAGGTAAAACAGAAATGAAACTTCTAACCTGTGCCAGGTCTCTGAGCAAAGTCAGCATGGAGGGACACCTCTCTCTGGGACATGTCTGTCTGTGTGTCTCCTTTAACTCTTTCTGTCTTTTCAAACTCCCGGTATGGCCCCTGTGTCTGTTCTCTGTTATGACACCTGGTCTCTACTTGTGTCTCCTGTTTCTCTGTCTCTGTTGGCACAGACCTCACCAAGTCAGTCTCTCTCCATAAGAATACCAAGCTCATCTTCCTTACAGCCACCTGGGCCTCCAAGTCCTGGATCATTCACTCTGCATCCCAATGACAATGAGAAGAAAGTCTGGACACTCTCACCTATGATCACGATGTCCAGAGGGTCACTGGGAGCTGACACCTGATAGGGGGAGTGAGTAACAGAACCGTAGCATCTGTAGGTCCCTGCCAGGTCTTGCGTCATGCGACTGATGGAGAAGTTGGCCTTGGAGACCCCATCATGGTGTTCTCCAATGAGGCGCAAAGTGTCGTTAAACATCCCCTCTCTGTGCAGAAGGAAGTGTTCAAACATGACATCTGACCAACATTGCAGGATGACTGTCTCTTCTGATTTCACCAGGCGACCTGGGTGGGCCAGGAGGGAAGGTTTTCTGTGGACTCCTAGGAAGAGAGGTTGTGAGTTTAGAAGGTGTCTCTCTTTATCATCCCATCCATGGCACCTGGATTGAGTGAGGCTTCCCCTTCCTGGTGTCTTATCTCTCTCCTTCCTCTCTGTGTCTTCATGTTCTTTTCTGTGCCCATAACTCCTGGTGCAGGTCCTTCCATCTGTCTCCCTCACTCTTCTCTGTCCCTCTGTCTCTAGTAGCCTCTGATTCCCTTGCCGCTGGGCTCAGCCTCATCTCTTGGGCTGTTGTATCTATTTCGAACTAATGTCTTTCCTGCTGTCTATGTGGGGGTGGAAGAGGAACCAGGATAGGCTGCACATCCAGGCTCTTAGCAGCCTGGTTCAATCTCTTTTGGACGAATTGGAATCCTTGGCAGGAGGTATGAACTGATCAGTAAGGCAGGCACCAGTGGCCACACACCCTGTTCCTGGTAGGGACTGGGAGACACTCTTGCCATGCCAGTGCCAGCTTCCATAGCCTGGCTCCTGGTGCTGGTTGGAGGAGTATCAACCGCTCCCTATGTGGATGGAGCCTGGTGGTGGCATCATCATCCGAGCCTTGCTGATCTCAGTGTAGCCAACCTTCTCCTTGTTTGGTTTCTTTAATTAATTAATTAATTTTGGCGACAGAGTCTCACTCCTTTGCCCAGGCTGGAGTGAAGTGGTGTGGTCTAGGCTTACTGCAACCTCTGTCTCCTGGGTTCAAGTGATTCTCCTGCCCTCAGCCTCCCAAGTCGCTAGGATTACATGCACCTGCCACCATGCCTGGCTATCCTTGTGTTGTTTCTTAACCTGTCCTTGACCTGGGTTCCAGTGTTGGTTTCCTGTTGCTGCTGTAGAAAATTATCAGAAGCATGGCAGCAGGAGAGAGCACACTAACCCCTTCCAATTCTGGAGACAGAAATCGGACCCTGTTTGTCGTGGGTAAAATCAAGGTACCTGCAGGGCTTCGTTCCCTCTGGAGACTCAGGAGAATCAGTTCCTTGACTTTTCCAGCCTCTATAGGCCACCTGCATTCATGGCTCCTGGACTTCCTCCACCTTCAAAGCTGATGGAGACTCCCATTATGCTGCTGTAATCCCCACTCCCCTCTTCCTCCTCCTTTCATGTGGACCCCTGTGACTACACTGAGCCCATCAGGACAGTCCAGGCTGTCTCCCCATCTCAAGGTCAACTCATCAACAACCTGAGCTCCATCTTCTCCTTCAGTCCCTTCCCCTATATCATAAATAGTCACAGACTCCAGGGATTAGAATGTAGTCATCACTGGGGACAATTATTCTTCCCACCACAGCACCCATTTCCCTGTATTCAATCCCCCTTTACCCCAAATACAGTCAGGACTTGCATGATGGGACCCGCAAGGACACGCCCACCAGGAGCTCTGGGATTCAGGAGGTGGGACAAGGAGAATCCCAGACAGGAGCCCTCTGACCTGTGACCGTGATCTCCAGGGGGTTGCTGGGTGCCGACCACCCACTGGGGTAGTGTGGTTGTGAACCCCGACATGTATAGGTCCCTGCGTGTGCTGGGGTCACAGGGCCCATGAAAAGGCTGTTCCAGAATATTATGTTGTAGAGCTCAGGGACAGGCACCCCATCTTCCTTTTACAGATTGAAGTTGTTAAACCCAAGATAAGAATGACACTGAAGAATCACATGTCCTGGAGGCACCACAGGGCTTGGCCAGGCAGACAGCAAGGGCTTGTCCTGACCACCTTGGGGAGAAGGAGGCACCGCCTTAGAGAGGAGGATGTGGAGCCACCCCTCCCTCCCTGTGCTCTGAAGATTCTCCTCGCTTTCCAAGTTTCTATGGCTGCTATCACACCTTGGTGCCCAGGGCTAAAGGAAGGACCCATCCCGCAAACACAAGGTGTCTCCCTACAACAAAAGTGTCAGCTGAGAACTTTGAGCAAGTGCTGAGTAAGAGACTCCTACTAGATTTTAATACTGTAAGATTACTCACATAAAACAACACAGGGTAGACATGGGGTGGAGGGCATGTCCTTTGAGAATGGAATATCAGCCGATGCCTGAACGAAAATAAACAACTGAGTCCCCATCAGAGGATTGGAATGTCAGGGCCATGGCTGTGGTTTTCCCACCTCTTCTGGTAGAATGACAGCAGCCACACTGCAGCCCCTACCGTCATGGAAACGCTGAAGTGTGTGAGTAACACCTTTGTCCTCAGAGGATCTGCTGTTCCTACCACTTCCCCACCACACACCCCAGCTTTGAGCACCGTAGTCTAACCCTGGTCCCCACAGAACTTGACTCTGCCAAGGGAATGAAAGGCCAGGGAGGCAAGGTCAGAAATGTGGGCCCAGCACCCCAGGGTCCCTTCTTCCTAGTTTATGAGAGACTCCCTGACAGGACTTCCCTCCCATTTCAGGAAAATCCTCTTATGTGGGGAGATGACACCCGAAGGTTTGGAGAAGGACTCACCCTCATGTGGCCAGGCCCCCTGCAGCAAGAAGAACCCTGGAAAGAAAGATCATGATGGATGACCCATCTGCAGGCAAACCAGGGCACCCTTGCTGCCCCCACTGGGCTGTGAGTCTTGGTAGCCAGGCCCTTCCTGGGCTGAAGGTAAACTCACTCTCAGTGCCTACCTGCACCCAAGAACAGGGCTGTCGGCTGTGCAGAGACCCAGCCTCCAGGTCCATATCCCCACCTCAAGCCCATATCTCCACTCCAGGCCCATATCTCCACTCCAGGCCGATATTTCCACCCTAAGCCCATATCGCCAATCCAGGCCCATATCTCCAATCCAGGCTCAGATCTCCACCCTGGGCCCATATCTCCAATCCAGGCCCTTATCTCCACTCCAGGTCCATATCTCCTCTCCAGTCCCATATCTCCACTCCAGGCCCATATATCCTCTCCAGTCCCATATCTCCACACCCAGGCCCGTATCTCCATCCTAGGCACATATCTCCTCTCCAGGCCCAGATATCGACCTCTAGGCCCATATCTCCACTCCTGGCCCATATCTCCACTCCAGGCCCAGATATCGACCTCTAGGCCCATATCTCCACTCCTGGCCCATATCTCCACTCCAGGCCCATGTCTCCACTTCAGGCCCATATCTCTACTGCAGGCCCGTAACTCCACCTCCAGGCCCATGACTCCACTCCAGGCCCATATCTCCACCTCCAGGCCCATATCTCCCCTCCAGGTTCCTATCTCCCCTCCAGGTTCCTATCTCCACTCCAGGCCCAGATCTCCACTACAGTCCCATCACTCCACCTCCAGGCCTATATCTCGACCTCTGGGCCCAGATCTCCACTTCTAGGCCCATCACTCCATCTCTAGGCCCATATATCCACTCCAGGCCCAGATCTCCACTCCAGGCCCATAACTCCACCTCCAGGCCTATATCTCCACCTCTGGGCCCAGATCTCCATCCCCTCACTCCCTCCCTCTATTGCTTTCCAGGACTCACCAACACACGCCATGCTGACGACCAAGAGCGACATGGTGCTGCCGGAGCAGACAGGCAGCCGCGACCGAGCTCAGCTCAGCAGCGCACAGGATGTTATTTGGCGCCCTGCCCATGCAGTTTACATGTTGACCACATCATGGGAGGGTGACGTACGCAGGCTCTTTCTACCTTGCATGAGGCCCAGTGGTTGCTCGCTCAAGAGCGGAACACGGCTTCCTGGAAATTGTTCTTGCTAGAATTTGACACCTAGTGTCCTTCACTATGACCAACTCAAAACACGTCTGAGATCCAACCTCCCGAACACGAGATGCCTAAAATCTGTGCTAACATGAAAGACTTTTCATGTATTTCTATTGTTTTTATCTGAGATTCAAACTCTTCTTCCTGTGTAATATGCAAAATATCTAATAGGTATTATTAATGTTTTCAGAGTCATTGTGACTAACAAACCATTAGAATTTTTCATGCTTGTATTTCTAGTATTACAGCAGAACCAGTTAAAATGATTTAAATTCCCAGGGAAGGATTATGCAATTATTTACAATCTTAGAATTGTACTTTATCAGTAAAAACCCCACCTGTAAATTCTGGAGTTTTGTAGTTTAATCTAAAATTTGTCTCATGACCCAAGATTCCAGAGTCCCAACTCTGGAGTTTGTTTTCCGTCTGTCTCTCTCCCTCCCTCATTTTAAATTTTACAGAAATATCCAGTAACATAATGCTATAGAAAATCAAGTTTCCCCAGCACGTTGGGAAGCCGAGGTGGGCGGATCAACTGAGATAAGGAGTTTGAGAGCAGCCTGGCCAATATAGTGAAACCGTGTCTCTGCTAAAAATCCAAAAATTAGCCGTGCCTGGTGGCAGGCACCTGTAACGCCAGCTACTCAAGAGGCTGAGGCACGAGAATCGCTTGAACCTGGGAGGCAGAAGTTGCAGTGAGCTGAGATTGTGTCACTGCAGTCCAGCCTGGGCGACAGAGCAAGACTCCGCCTCAAGAAAAAAAAGCAAATAGCCTATAATAACAAATTAGAGAGCTCTGGCTACTAAATTTAAAGGGTTCTATAAGGCTACATAAAGTGCAGCATCATCAAGAGTGTGGACACAGAGAGCCCCTTAGCAGAAACAGTGTCTAAAGTACATCCGTGTACACACAGTCCCTTTAGAGTTGACAAAGGCTGCCGTGTGGTTTAAGGTGGCATAGAATGTCTTCTCAATAAATAATATTAAACCAATGGGTTATACCTAGGAAAAAATAAATCTAACTCACACTATAAAAACACTTCTTAGTTTTTATCTAGTTGTACATTTTTTATGATTTATATTTAAATTTGAGAAATAAAAGTCATATACGGTCATCCTTCACTATTCCTGGGTGATTGGTTTCGAGATCTCCACTCAGATACCAAAATCTGTAGATGCTCAAGCCTCTTATATGAAATGGCACAGAGTTTGCAAATAACCTATGCACATCCTCCTGTATAGATGAAATCATCTCTAGATTACTTATAATTCCTGATGCAGCCTACACACAGCTTCATTTGTGTCCATTCAACACAGTTCTGCTTTTTGTAACTCTGTGGATACTTTCTCTGAATATTTTTGATTTATACTCGGTTCAATAAAGAACTGTAAACCCCACAGATATGGAGGAGTGACTGTATATTTATAGTGTGAAAGATGATGTGTTGATATGTGTCCCTGTGTAGATGAGACTAACAAGGCCTATGACTCTACAAATGTTTCATCTTGGAATGACTCTGCCAGATTTCCAGGTCTGCAGAGAGTAAGAATATCACTTGTTCATGTGATTCACGATCCTTGGAACCTCCTATGTGCTACATCTTTGGATGGAAATAGGAGTCCCAGAGACAAATGAGGCTCCACCCTGCTTCCAGAAACTCAGAGTCCGGGGGTGAGAACCCAGTGGAGAACAGATGGGGTTATGTGGACATGGTAATGATAACACTGGAAGTCTTAGGCAAGAAAAGAGTCCCATTACCGAAACCATGAGGGCAGACATGTTTATTTGAAGGAGGGAAAACTACATTGAAATTATTTTAAAAAATATATAAGTTTTACTGCTGACAGAAGGCTGAAAGATACTCTGAGGGGAGGTGGAACAGCATGAGGGAAGGTGGAACAGGACGTGTCTAAGTGCCGTGTTAAGAGGGAGCCTCTTGTATGTTTGGAACTGTGAGTTCCTCAGTGTGATTGCAGCCTCAAGTAGACTAGGAAGTAAGCCAGTAAGGTTGGAGAGGTGGGCAGGGGTCAAGTGAAATGGAGAATTGTGGGCTAAGCAAAGGAGTGTGTTTTCTCTCCAGCAGGCAGTGGGGACCTTAGACATTTGTAAGCAAGAGAGAGGCACATTCAGATTTGTGGTGTGAGGAAGAGCGATGCCCTAAGATGCAGACTCACGCCTTCAGATTCCAGCTGCTGGCACATGGGAGCTGGCAACCCGGTTTTGAGACAGGGCTATTGTCTCCCTAGAAGATCCCCTCAAGGCCTGACTGTGGTGCTCATGGGCAGGAGACAACGTTGGATCTGGACTCAGCATTTGGAAGTTCCGTGTACACTCTGGTATCTGTTGGGGGTGTCTTGGGCCTCTGAGAAGGGCGAGTGATTTTTCTCTGTGTGAAAACGCAGTGATCCAACTGTACGTATGTCACCTCCTGAGGGTCTTGTTCATCAGAGTCCTGGAGAGAGGGAAATCCTGAGTGAGGGAGGGTGCTCACATTTTCCAGGACTGTTTGGGAATAACACTAGCCACGAGGCTGGGCCGAGGAGCACCTACCTCGCTATTCGCTGTTCTGTTCCCTGCAGGCTCTTGGTCCATTACAGCAGCATGTGTAGGAGACGGAAGTCAACAAAAGAGCTCGGAGGGCACTTCTGGGTCCTCATTTCATAAGCAGATACCAACAAACAGGGGGAGGCCATAGGAGCCTGAGGTCCCTCAGTTGCCAACAGCAGACTCAGACATTCTATCTCTCTGAGCTCAAGGACCCATCCCATGAATAGCTCTGAGTTCCCATCCCATTGATTCTGTCTCCCACTTTCTGCCTGTCATGGAACCTTCTCCTGGATGTGAGTGGCTGCAGGGGACATGAGGATACAGTTCAGAATCAGGCAACGGTCTGTGAGCTGAAGGCAGGGACAGGGAGTCTGGTGCCCTCTCTAGAAAGTCCTGCCTCTGTGGCTGCTGCCTTGGGCCAGGGACCATCCTACCTGTGAGGAACACACACCTGAGTGCTCCCATCCTGCTTCCCCACATGGCCCGGAGCTCTCTGGCCTCTCCTTCGTAAGACTTACTTTTCTTGTTGGAGCACCAGCGATGAAGGAGAAAGAAGAGGAGGAGGATGAAGAGGATGATGACCACTGAGGTCCCAATCAGAACGTGCAGGTGTCTTGGGTTACCTGGAAGAAGATGAGACACCAATAAGAAGCTAATCATAGCAGTTCCTTTTTATGAATTGTCTCGCATTTCTTGATTGACAGGTAACCACGTAAAACACCTCTTTAGGACAAGCACCCAGATGGCGGGAGACCCAGCTTTCTCCTGCTTTCTCAGTTATAGCTCTCAAAGTAACCATAGAATGTGCTGAGGATACAACTACTTTAGTTGAGATGTTTGACCCCTTCAAACCTCACATTGAAATTTCACCCCCATTGTGGGAGGTTGGGCCTCTTGAGAGGTGTTTGGGTCATGGAGGTGGATCCATCATGAACAGATCAATGCTGTCCCAAGGAGACGGGGTTAGCAAGTTCCCCCTCTATTAGTTCCTGGAGAGCTGGTTGTTCAAAAGAACTTGGAAGCTCCATCACTCCCCCTCCCCCTTGCTCCCTCTCTTGCCGTGTGATCTCTGTGGTCTCTGCACAGACAGACCCTCCTTCCCTTCTGCCAGAGTGGGAGCAGCCTGAGGCCATCACGAGAAATAGATGCTGGTGCCATGCTTCCAGTACAGCCTGCAGAACGGTGAGACAAACCAATCTCTTTTCTTTAGAAGTTGCCCAGGCTCAAGTGTTCCTTTAGAGCAACAAAAATGGACTAAGACAGCAACGTCCTGAGATCAGGAGGAACGTCCCAGAGCAGCCTGGGCTGTCTTCCTGTTCTTCCTGGAGGAGGACGTCATGCAGTGCTTTAGCTGAGTGCTTCCTGTGGCTCCAGGGTACAAAACCCAGGCTGGGCTGCTTTCTGGCTTCCCCCAGCTACACTGCAAATGGGGTGACTCCATATGTCCCGAGCAGCTTTTCTGAGCCTTGAGGGACTGGCTCACATTGAAATGTAGGCTTCTGTTTTCACTCGCTGCTTATCTGTTAGTAATGAACCTGCCTATGTAACGTATTCTCTGTGTGTTCTGTCTCCCTGGAGTGACGGTGAGTGATAGGAATTGGCGTAGGCCCAGGTGCAGTCTAGGAGGTGTTTAGGGTCTTTTCTGGGAAGACTGCACTGGGATTGACACACAGCGAATGTGCTTTAGGATTTCTACATCCACAGCATTCTTGAGTCAAACAACTTGCGTTCTCCAAGGAAAGGAAACAAAAGTGAAATCAAGATAAAAAAGCGAAATAGAGTTATCTTATGTCCAACAGCCAGGAAATCGTGTTGAAGCCCCTGTGAAACGTCCTACTCTTTGTGATCTCGGGAGACACATGTTAGGCTGCTGTTCTACCTGAGAGGCTGGGGGAAGGACCACCCCCTCCACCATCTATTGCTTCAATACCACCTGTCCTCCTGTGAATTAGTAGGAAAGGGGAGCAGGAGCTAGTGCTGGTGCTGATCTCTCATTCCAAGATCTGGACTCACTCCAAGGAGTATTAATGTTTACCTCCCCATGGTCTATCTGAATCTCCACAGGTGATTGGAAGTAGGGGTGAAGTGGGGGATTTGAGTGAGACGGCAAGTTTTTTTTGTGATGAACAGAGCACTTTCTCTATTCCACGATCTGTGCTGGAGGATTCAGCGGGCTTTCACATTTTCTATATGGTCTCATGCTCACAGAAAGCCAAATACGGAAGAGGTTTTAGGCTCATTGCCTAATGGATAAGACAAAGGATCAAAGAAGTAATTATAGAGAAATACAAAAATGATGATTGGAATTCAGGTGCCTTTGTCATTCGTGTGTGTTTTATTATATTTATGCATTTCTTATTTTTATTTTTTGAGACGGAGTCTCCTTGTGTCACCCAGGCTGGAGTGCAGTGATGCAATCTCCACTCACTGCAACCTCCACCTCCTGGGTTGAAGTCATTCTCCTGCTTCATCCTCAAGAGTAGGAGCTGGGATTACAGGGATGCACCACCATGCTCGACTAATTTTTGTATTTTTCATAGAGACAGGGTTTCACCATTTTGGCCAGGCTGGTCTGGAACTCCTGACTTCAAGTGATCCACCCGCCTTGGCCTCCTGCAGTGCTGGGAATTGCCTTTTCCATGGCCTGAGCATGGGGCCGTGGCTGAATGAGTCAGTGAGTCGAAGTGTGCGTGCATGAGCTCCGTTCTCTGTTAAGGCAAAGCTCTTGCTCTGCTGAGTCAGCCAGGGTTGCTTCATGACCAACAGTAATTCATTCCTGGGCAAGTGGAACTTCTCTAAAACACCTCGCCCTCATCAAATGTTCCCTACCCTTCCCTCTCTCAAGCCCCCAGGAATTTATCCTCCAGTTAGGAATGCAGGCAGAACAAACATTGCATTTTTCCTGAGAAGGATGTCAGATTGCCAATCATTTTTCTAGCTTGTAGGAGATCTCAGCTCCATAAAATGAGAGATTAAGAGATTTCACTGAGCCCTGTTTTGGGTCCAGATCCCTTTCGCTGTTGGAGTATCTGGAGTTCGGAGATGGTAGAAGACAGGCGTACAATGTCAGAGCTGTGAGATGCTGAGTCAACGCCTGAATCCAAGGTTTCCACCTCCCCAGGTTTCCAAAAGCGGATATAAGAGGGTTCTGTACTCACCGGTTTTGGAGCTTGGTTCAGTGGGTGAAGGCCAACTATTTGAAGGGTTTCCTAGAACACGAGACAGGAGAGAGGTGAGGAAATGAGGGTGTCTGTCCTCTACTCAGTGGAAATCTTTGAGGTTGGTTCATGGCCAACACTCTGTTATCTAATATTGGGCCCTGGGAGTCCTGGGATCCTTTTTTCCATAATTTTTGTATGTGACGGCTACTGTCTTGAGACTTCAAGGTATAAAGAGAAAACAGGAGCATCACACTACCTGATCTCAAAATATGTTACAGAGCTGTAGTAAGCAAGACAGCATGACGTTGGCATGAAGAAAGGCACATAGAACAACGGAGCAGAATGAATAACACAGATATAATCCATGCATTTACCTCCAATGTATTTTTTGTTTTTCTTTTGAGATGGAGTCTTGCTCTGTCACCCAGGCTGGAGTGCAGAGGTGCAATCTCGGTTCACTGCCACCACAGCCTCCTGGGTTCAATCACTTCTCTGGCCTCAAACTCCTGAGTAGTGGTATTACAGGTGCTGACCACCATGCTCAGCTAATTTTTATATTTTTAGTGGAGACGATGTTTCATCACGTCGGCCAGAGTAATCTTGTACTCCTGTCCTCAGGTGATCCACCAGCCTTGGCCTCCCAAAGTGCTGAAGTTGCTGGTGTTAGCCACCATGCCCAGCCCATCCAATGGACTTTGACAAAGGTGCCAAGAACTCACAATCAGGAAAGGACAGTCTTTTCAATAAACAGTGCAGGGAAACCTGGACATCTACATGCAGAGGAATGAAACTGCACCTCTGCCTGTCACTATACACAAAAATCAAATGAAAATGGATTAAAGATGTGAGTCTAAGGCCTGAACCTATGAAACACGTAGAAGAAAATATTGGGGAAATGCTCCAGGACGTTTGTCTGAAGGAAGACATTTTGTTTTAAACCTTGAAAACACAAGTAATCGAAGCAAAAATAGACCATTGGGATTACCTCAAACTAAGCAACTTCTGCACTGCTAAAAATAAACCAACAAAGTGAAGAGACAACCCACAGATTGGGAGCAAATATGTGCAAACTATGCATCTGAGATGGGATTAATAACTAGAAATATAAGAAGCTCAAACAACTCAGTAAAACAAATGATTTAATTGAAACAGGAGCAAAAGACATGAAATTTCCCCACATACTAAAAAGTGCTCAGTATCACTCATCATCAGAGAAACGCAAATTAAAATCAAAGTGAGTTTTCATCTCACCCCATTAAAATGGCTTTTAGGCCGGGTGAGGTGGCTCACGTCTGTCATCCTAGAACTTTGAGAGCCTGAGGTGGGTGAATCTCATAAGGTCGGGAGTTTGAGACCAGTCTGACCCACATGGAGAAACACTGTCTCTACTAAAAATACAAAAATTAGTCGGGCGTGGTGGCGTGTGCCTGTAATTCCAGCTACTCGGGAGGCTGAGGCAGGAGAATCGCTTGAACCTGGGAGGTGGAGGTTGCGGTGAGCCGAGATCGCACCACTGCACTCAGCCTGGGTGACAAGAGCGAAACTCCATCTCAAAATAAAATGAAATAAAATAAAATGGCTTTTAGCTGCAAGACAGGCAAAAGAAATGCTGGCAAGGTGTTAGAGAAAGGAGAATCCTGGTATCCTGTTGGGAGGAGTGTAAATTAGTACAGCCATTACGGAGAAAAGTGTGGAAGTCCTTTAAAGAACTAAAAAGAGGTTGGGTGAGGTGGATCAGGCCTGTAATCCCGGCACTTTGGGAGACCGAGGCGGGCACCTCAGTTGAGGTCATGAGTTTGAGAGCAGCCCAGCCAACATGGGGAAACCGCATCTATACTAAAAAAAACAAAAAGTAGCCAGGCATGGTGGCGTGCGCCTATAATCCCTGATACTAGGGAGGCTGAGGCAGGAAAATCATTTGAACCCAGGAGGCAGAGGTTGCAATGAGCCAAGATCATATCACTTGTACTCCAGCCTGGCACAGAGGGAAACTGTCTCAAAAACAAAAACAAAACAACAAACGAAAAACTAAAAAGAGAACTTTCATAGTATCCAGCAATTTCACTACTGGGTTTATATCCAAAGGAAAGTAAATCAATATATCGAAGTGATATCTGCACTCGTATGATTGGTGCAGCACTCTTCACAGTAGCCAAGATGTGGAGTCAACCTACCTGCCCATCAGTGGGTGAATGGATAGAGAGAATGTGGTACATTTGCATAGTGGAGACTACTCTTCCATAGAAAGAATAACATCCTGTCATTTGCAGCCACATGGATGGAACTGGAGGTCATTACAAAGATTCCCATTTCTTACCCATATACAGGAGCTAAAAGGTGGATCTCATGAAGGTAGAGAGTAGAATGGTGGCTACCAGAGGCCAGGAAGAAAAGGGTGGAGGGTAAAAAAAAATATATGTGTGTATATATATATATTAATGTATTTATGACCACTAGACTTTACACTTAAAAACGGTAAATGTGGCTGGGCGTGGTGGCTCATGCCTGTAATCCCAGCACTTTGGGAGGCTGATGCGGGTGGATCACGTGGTCAGGAGTTCGAGACCAGCTTGACCAACATGGTGAAACCCCCTCTCTACTAAAAATACAAAAAGTAGCCTGGCATGGTGGTGCGCGCCTGTAGCACCAGCTACTCAGGTGGCTGAGGCAAGAGAATCGCTTGAACCCAGGAGGCGGAAGTTGCAGTGAGCTGAGATTGTGCCAATGCACTCCAGCATAGGGGACAGAGCTAGACTCCGCCTCAAAAAAAAAAATGTTAAAGGTGGTAAGCTATATAGTTATATTTATCCTCAATAAATATTTCTCAAACAAAAGTAAACGGTGTAGGGGTTGCAGGTGATGACATCCCTGTGTGGGTGGGAGGCCAGGATGGGCTTCTGGGAAATGGGTAATGTTGAGGGGCTGAGGGAACCTCTGATCTTCCCAAACTGAGCCCAGTCTCCCTCCTCTGGGTCTCTCCTGACAGCTTTCTCCATCTGCCTGGGTGCCTGGAGTCCTGGCCGCAGGCCTTCATGCAGGCCATGTAGGAGGGTTTGGAGGTGCCCTGTCTGCCATCCTGTGCCCTGATCCCTCCCTCACACCCAAGCTTCGTCTTCTCTCTGCATCTGTTCATCCTTCTCTCCATCCTCAGCAGGAAGCTCCTCAGCTAAGGCTCTAGGATCATAGGACATGGGACAGCCATGGGCTTTCCTCACCTGTGACAGAAACAAGCAGTGGGTCACTCGAGTTTGACCACTCGTAGGGAGAGTCACGGAAAGAGCCGAAGCATCTGTAGGTTCCTCCGTGGGTGGCAGGGCCCAGAGGAAAGTCAGCCTGGAATGTTCCGTTGACCTTGGGCCCTGCAGAGAACCTACGTTCATGGGCCTCCCCCTCCCTGGATAGATGGTACATGTCATAGGAGCTCCGGGAGCTGCAGGACAAGGTCACGCTCTCTCCTGCCAGAACCGTGGGGCCCGGCTGGGCTGAGAGAGAAGGTTTCCCATATAGACCTGGAAGGAGAAGAGGCATTTTCCTTACGGAGGCTCTTCCTTGTCACAGCTCCCTTCACCTGAGCTGAGAACTCACTCCCCTGCTCTATGACCTAATGCTCTCTCTCTCTCTCTCTCACCCTCCACCCCATCTCTCTTCATGTCTATTTCCTCCTTCCACCTTCTCTGTCTCTCTAGGTCTCTGACCTCGCTTCCACACCTCTAGATATGTTTTCCCTTTTTGGATTGTTTTATTCTCTCTGACTCTCCTTGGATTGGTTCACTTGATGTTACTTTTTTAAATTCTAAGTTTCTCACTTTGTGTCCTGTTCATAACTTTCTGCATATTTCTATCTATTATCTGTCGATCTATCTATTTATCTATTCGGTGCCTATCTACAAATTCTCTACCTGTCATCTATATCTATATATCATCTATGTATCTATCACTTGTCTATCTATCCATCAATCATCTGTTATCTATATCTATGTATCATCTCTCTCTCTATGACTTCTGTCTGCCTCTCTATCTCTATGTATTATCTATCTGTCTTCATCATCATCATCTCTATGTCTCATCTATTAATGAATCAATCAATCATCATCTATGTATCTTTAACCTATTATCTATCATCTACCTATTTATCATCTATCTATATCTAACCATCTATCATCTGTCTTGCTCTGCCTCTCGGTCTCTCTAGTTCTCTTTGGAATCTCTGCAATTCATCCCCACATCTCCATCTTTCTATGTCCTTGTGCCTCTCCCTCAGGACTCTAATTTTAGTGCTTTTCTCTGCTCCCTTCCATCATTCTCACCACTCCTCTGCCCTCTTTTCTCTCTCTTTATGTGTCTGTGAGTCTCTCAATCTCCTTCCTCTGGCTCATTCTCTGTGTGTTTATGTCTTTGCTTTTTGGTGTCCCTGATTTCTCTCTGTGCCTCTCAGTGATCCTTTCATATGTGGGGTTATTTGGAATGTGAGCCTCAGAATCCAGTCTGGAGACCACAAGTTCACACAGCATACAGGAGTTGGTGTTCTGGGGCCATGATATCCTGGGACGGTTACTCTCCATTACATGGAAGGCAGAGGTGTGAGAATAAACACGGCATCTGTAGGTGCCACAAGGCCTGAGGCCACAGGGCCCAACTCAGGTCAGAAATATGGGTGTCCTTGGGTTCTCCTGGTAGAGAACACTTTGTGGAGGTAAAACAGAAATGAAACTTCTAACCTGTGCCAGGTCTCTGAGCAAAGTCAGCATGGAGGGACACCTCTCTCTGGGACATGTCTGTCTGTCTGTCTCCTTTAACTCCTTCTGTCTTTTCTAACTCCCGGTATGGCCCCTGTGTCTGTCCTCTGTTATGACACCTGGTCTGTACTTGTGTCTCCTGTTTCTCTGTCTCTGTTGGTACAGACCTCACCAAGTCAGTCTCTCTCCATAAGAATACCAAGCTCATCTTCCTTACAACTACCTGGGGGTTCCAAGTCGTGGATCATTCACTCTGCATCCCAATGACAATGAGAAGAATGTCCGGACACTCTCACCTGTGATGACGATGTCCAGAGGGTCACTGGGAGCTGACAACTGATGGGGGAGTGAGTAACAGAACCGTAGCATCTGTAGGTCCCTGCCAGGTCTTCCATCATGGGACCGATGGAGAAGTTGGCCTTGGAGACCCCATCATGGTGCTCTCCAGTGAGGTGCAAAGTGTCGTTAAATGTCCCCTCTCTGTGCAGAAGGAAGTGCTCAAACCTGACATCTGACCAACATTGCAGGATGACTGTCTCTTCTGATTTCACCAGGGGACCTGGGTGGGCCAGGAGGGAAGGTTTTCTGTGGACTCCTAGGAAGAGAGGTTGTGAGTTTAGAAGGTGTCTCTCTTTATCATCCCATCCATGGCACCTAGAATGAGTGAGGCTTCCCCTTGCTGGTGTCTGTCTCTCTCCTTCCTCTCTGTGTCTTCATGTTCTTTTCTGTGCCCATAACTCCTGGTGCAGGTCCTTCCATCTGTCTCCCTCCCTCTTCTCTGTCTCTCTGTCTCTAGTCGCCTCTGATTCCCTTCCCACTGGGCTTAGCCTCATCTCTTGGGGTGTTGTATCTATTTCACACTAATGTCTTTCCTGCTGTTTATGTGGGGGTGAAAGAGGAACCAGGATAGGCTGCACATCCAGCCTCTTATCAGCCTGGTTCAATCTCTTTTGGATGAATTGGAATCCTTGGCAGGAGGTATGAACTGATGAATAAGGCAGGCAGCAGTGTCCACACACCCTGTTCCTGGTCGGGACTGGGAGCCACTCTTGCCATGCCTGTGCCTTCTCCATGGTGCCAGCTTCCATAGGCTGGCTCCTGGTGCTGGTTTGAGGAGTATCAACCCCTCCCTATGTGGATGGAGCCTGGTGGTGGCATCATCATCCCACACTTGCTGATCTCGGTGTAGCCAACCTTCCCCTTGTTTGGTTCCTTTAATTAATTAATTAATTATGGAGATCAGAGTCTCACTCCTTCACCCCAGCTGGAGTGAAGTGGTGTGGTCTAGGGTCACTGCAACCTCTGTCTCCTGGGTTCAAGTGATTCTCCTGCCCTCAGCCTCCCAAGTCGCTAGGATTACATGCGCCTGCCACCACACCCGGCTATCCTTGTGTTGTTTCTTAACTTGTCCTTGACCTGGGTTCCAGTGTTGGTTTCCTGTTGCTGCTGTAGAAAATTATCAGAAGCATGGCAGCAGGAGAGAGCACACTGACCCATTTCACTACTGGAGACAGAAATAGGACCCTGTTTTTCCTGGGCTAAAATCAAGGCATCTGCAGGGCTTCGTTCCCTCTGGAGACTCTGGAGAATCATTTCCTTGACTTTTCCAGCCTCTACAGGCCACCTGCATTCATGGCTCCTGGACTTCCTCCACCTTCAAAGCTGGTGGAGTCTCCCATTGCGCTGCTCTAATCCCCACTCCCCTCTTCCTCCTCCTTTCATGTGGACCCTTGTGATTACACTGAGCCCAGCGGGACAGTCCAGGCTGTCTCCCCATCTCAAGGTCAACTCATCAACAACCTGAGCTCCATCTTCCCCTTCAGTTCCTTCCCCTATAACATAAATAGTCACAGACTCCAGGGATTAGAATGTAGTCATCACTGGGGACAATTATTCTTCCCACCACAGCACCCATTTCCCTGTATTCAATCCCCCTTTACCCCAAATATAGTCAGGGCCTGGGTGATGGGACCCTCAAGGACACGCCCACCAGAAGCTCTGGGATTCAGGAGGTGGGAAAGGAGAATCCAAGACAGGAGCCCTCTGACCTGTGGCCATGATCACCAGGGGGTTGCTGGGTGCCGACCACCCACTGGGGGAGTGTGGGTGTGAACCCCGACATCTGTACGTCCCTGTGTGTGCTGGGGTCACAGGGCCCATGAAAAGGCTCTTCCAGAATATTCTGTTGTAGAGCTCAGTGCCAGGCACCCCATCTTCCTTTTACAGACTGAAGTTGTTAAACCCAAGATAAGAATGACACCGAAGAATCACATGTCCTGGAGGCACCACAGAGCTGGGCCAGGCAGACAGCAAGGGCTTGTCCTGACCACCTTGGGGAGAAGGAGGCACCGCCTTAGAGAGGAGGATGTGGAGCCACCCCTCCCTCCCTGTGCTCTGAAGATTCTCCTCGCTTTCCAAGTTTCTATGGCTGCTATCACACCTTGGTGCCCAGGGCTAAAGGAAGGACCCATCCCGCAAACACAAGGTGTCTCCCTACAACAAAAGTGTCAGCTGAGAACTTTGAGCAAGTGCTGAGTAAGAGACTCCTACTAGATTTTAATACTGTAAGATTACTCACATAAAACAACACAGGGTAGACATGGGGTGGAGGGCATGTCCTTTGAGAATGGAATATCAGCCGATGCCTGAATGAAAATAAGCAACTGAGCCCCCATCAGAGGATTTGGAATGTCAGGGCCATGGCTGTGGTTTCCCACCTCTTCTGGTGGAGTGACAGCAGCCACACTGCAGCCCCTACCGTCATGGAAACGCTGAAGTGTGAGTAACACCTTTGTCCTCAGAGGATCTGCTGTTCCTACCACTTCCCCACCACACACCCCAGCTTTGAGCACCCCAGTCTAACCCTGGTCCCCACAGAACTTGACTCTGCCAAGGGAATGAAAGGCCAGGGAGGCGAGGTCGGAACTGTGGGCCGAGCACCCCAGGGTCCCCTCTTCCTAGTTTATGAGAGGCTCCCCGACAGGACTTCCCTCCTGTTTCAGGAAAATCCTCTTATGTGGGGAGATGACACCCGAAGGTTTGGAGAAGGACTCACCCTCATGTGGCCAGGCCCCCTGCAGCAAGAAGAACCCTGGAAAGAAAGATCATGATGGACGATCCATCTGCAGGCGAACCAGGGCACCCTTGCTGCCCTCACTGGGCTGTGAGTCTTGGTAGGCAGGCCCTTCCTGGACTGAAGTTAAACTCACCCTCAGTGCCTACCTGCACCCAAGAACAGGGCTGTCGGCTGTGCAGAGACCCAGCCTCCAAGCCCAGATCCCCACCACAAGCCCATATCCCCACCACAAGCCCATATCTCCACTCCAGGCCAATATTTCCACCCTAGGCCTGTATCTCCACTCCAGGCCCATATCTCCACTCCAGGCCGATATTTCCATCATAGGCCCATATCGCCAATCCAGGCCCATATCGCCAATCCAGGCCAAGATCTCCACTGTAAGCCCATATCTCCAATCCAGGCCCATATCTCCACTCCAGGCTCAGATCTCCACCCTAGGCCCATATCTCCAATCCAGGCCCATATCTCCACACCAGGCCCATATCTCTACTGAAGGCCAGTAACTCCACCTCCAGGCCCATATCTCCACTCCAGGCCCAGATCTCCACCCCAAGCCCATATCTCCACCCCAGGCCCATATCTCTACTGAAGGCCCGTAACTCCACCTCCAGGCCCATATCTCCACCCCAGGCCCAGATCTCCACCCCAAGCCCATATCTCCACTCTAGGCCCATATCTCCTCTCCAGTCCCATATCTCCACAACCAGGCCCATATCTCCATCCTAGGCCCATATTTCCACTCTAGGCCCAGATATCCACCTCTAGGCCCATATCTCCACTCCTGGCCCATATCTCCACTCCAGGCCCATATCTCTACTATAGGCCTATAACTCCACCTCCAGGCCCATATCTCCACTCCAGGCTCCTATCTCCCCTCCAGGTTCCTATCGGCACTCCAGGCCCAGATCTCCACTTCTAGGCCCATCACTCCATCTCTAGGCCCATATATCCACTCCAGGCCCAGATCTCCACTCCAGGCCCACAACTCCACCTCCAGGCCTATATCTCCACCTCTGGGCCCAGATCTCCAACCCCACACTCCCTTCCTCTATTCCCTTCCAGGACTCACCAACACACGCCATGCTGACGACCGTGAGCGACATGGTGCTGCCGGTGCAGACAGGCGGCCGCGCCCCAGCTCAGCTCAGCAGCGCACAGGATGTTATTTGGCGCCCTGCCCATGCAGTTTACATGTTGACCACATCATGGGAGGGTGACGTACGCAGGCTCTTTCTACCTTGCATGAGGCCCAGTGGTTGCTCGCTCAAGAGCGGAACACGGCTTCCTGGAAATTGTTCTCACTAGAATTTACACCTAGCGTCCTTCACTATGACCAACTCAAAACACGTCTCAGATCCAACCTCCTGAACACGAGATGCCTAAAATCTGTGCTAACGTGAAAGACTTTTCATGTATTTTTATTGTTTTTATCTGAGATTCAAACTCTTCTTCCTGTGTAATATGCAAAATATCTAATAGGTATTATTAAGGTTTTCAGAGTCATTGTGACTAATAAACCATTAGAATTTTTCATGCTTGTATTTCTAGTATTACAGCAGAACCAGTTAAAATGATTTAAATTCCCAGGGAAGGATTATGCAATTATTTACAATCTTTGAATTGTACGTTATCAGCAAAAACCACACATTTAAACTCTGGATTTTTGTAGATTTATCTAAAATTTGTCTCATGACCCAAGTTTCCAGAGTCCCAACTCTGGAGTTTGCTCTCTCTCTGTCTCTCTCCCTCCCTCATTTTAAATTTTACAGAAATATCCAGTAACATAATGCTATAGAAAATCAAGTTTCCCCCAGCACGTCGGGAAGCCGAGGTGGGCGGATCAACTGATATAAGGAGTTTGAGAGCAGCCTGGCAACACAGTGAAACCGTGTCTCTGCTAAAAATCCAAAAATTAGCCGTGCCCAGTGGCAGGAACTTGTAACACCAGCTACCCAAGAGGCTGAGGCACGAGAATCGCTTGAACCTGGGAGGCGGAGGTTGCAGTGAGCTGAGATTGCACCACTGCAGTCCAGCCTGGGCGACAGAGCAAGACTCCGCCTCAAGAAAATAAAAATAGCAAATAGCCTATAATAACAAATTAGAGGCCTCTGGCTACTAAATTTAAAGGGTTCTATGGGGCTACATAAAGTGGAGCATCCTCAAGAATGTGGACACAGAGAGCCGTTTAGCAGAGACAGTGTCTAAAATACACATCCGTGTACACACAGTCCCTTTTTAGTTGACAAAGGCTGCCGTGTGGTTTAAGGTGGCATAGAATGTCTTCTCAATAAATAATATTAAACCAAAGGGTTACACATAGGAAATAATAAATCTAAACTTATTCTCACACTATAAAAACACTTCTTAGTTTTTATCTAGTTATTGTACATTTTTTATGATTTATATTTAAATTTGAGAAATAAAAGTCCTATACCGTCATCCTTCACTATTCATGGGTGATTGGTTTCAGGATCTCCACTCAGATACTAAAATCTGCAGATGCTCAAGCCTCTTACATAAAATGACACAGCATTTGGATATAACCCATGCACATCCTCCTGTATACATGAAATCATCTCTTGATTACTTATAATTCCTGATACAGCCTATACACCACCTCATTTGTGTGCATTCAACACAGTTTTGCTTTTTGGAACTTTGTGGGCTTTTTCTCTGAATATTTTTGATTTATACTTGGTTCAATAAACACCTGTAAACCCCACAGATACGGAGGAGCGACTGTATATTTATAGTATGAAAGATGATGCGTTGACATGTGTCCCCGTGGAGATGAGACTAACAAGGCCTATGACTCTACAAATGTTTCATCATGGAATGACTCTGCCAGCTTTCCAGGTCTGCAGAGAGTAAGAATATCACTTGTTCATGTGACTCACGATCCTTGGAACTTCCTATGTGCTGCATCTTTGGATGGAAATTGGAGTCTCAGAGACAAGTCAGGGTCCACCCTGTTCCAGAAGCTCAGAGTCCAGGGGTGAGAACCCAGTGGAGAACAGATGGGGTTATGTGGACATGGTAATGATAACACCGGAAGCCTTAGGCAAGAAAAGAGTCCCATTACCGAAAACATGAGGGCAGACATGTTTATTTGAAGGAGGGAAAACTACATTGAAATTACTAAAAACAATTTATAAGTTTTACTGCTGACAGAAGGCTGAAAGATAGTCTGAGGGGAGGTGGAACTGCATGAGAGAAGGTGGAACAGCACGTGTCTAAGTGCTGTGTTAAGAGGGAGCCTCTTGTATGTTTGGAATTGTGAGTTCCTCAGTGTGATTGCAGCCTCAAGTAGACTAGGAAGTAAGCCAGTTAGGTTGGAGAGGTGGGCAGGGGTCAAGTGAAATGGAGAATTGTGGGCTAAGCAAAGGAGTGTGTTTTCTCTCCAGCAGGCAGTGGGGACCTTAGACATTTGTAAGCAAGAGAGAGGCATGTTCAGATTCGTGGTGTGAGGAAGAGCGATCCCCTAAGATGAAGACTGATGCCTTCAGATTCCAGCTGCTGGTACATGGGAGCTGGCAACCCGGTTTTGAGACAGGGCTGTTGTCTCCCTAGAAGATCCCCTCAAGGCCTGACTGTGGTGCTCGTGGACAGAAGACAACTTTGGATCTGGGCTCAGCATTTGGAAGTTCTATGTACATGCTGGTATCTGTTGGGGGTGTCTTGGGCCTCTCAGAAGGGCGAGTGATTTTTCTCTGTGTGAAAACACAGTGATCCAATTATGCGTATGACACCTCCTGATGGTCTTGTTCATCAGAATCCTGGAGAGAGGGAAATGCTGAGTGAGGGAGGGTGCTCACATTTTTCAGGACTCTTTGGGAATAAGACTAGCTACGAGGCTGGGCCGAGGAGCACCTACCTCCCTGTTCACTGTTCTGTTCCCCGCAGGCCCTTGGTCCATTACAGATGCATCTGTAGAAGATGGAAGTCAACAAAACAGCTCGGAGGGCACTTCTGGGTCCTCATTTCATAAGCAGATACCAACAAACAGGGGGAGGCCATAGGTGCCTGAGGTCCCTCAGTTGCCAACAGCAGACTCAGACATTCTATCTCTCTGAGCTCAAGGACCCATCCCATGAATAGCTCTGAGTTCCCATCCCATTGATTCTATCTCCCACTTTCTGCCTGTCATGGAACCTTCTCCTGGATGTGAGTGGCTGCAGGGGACGTGAGGGTACAGTTCAGAATCAGGCAATGGTCTGTGAGCTGAAGGCAGGGGAAGGGAATCTGGTGCTCTCTCTAGAAAGTCCTGCCTCTGTGGCTCCTGCCTTGGGCCAGGGACCATCCTGCCTGTGAGGAACACACACCCGCGTGCTACCATCCTGCTTCCCCACATGGCCCTGAGCTCTCTGGCCTCTGCTTCGTGAGACTTACTTTTTTTGTTGGAGCACCAGCGATGAAGGAGAAAGAAGAGGAGGATGGTGAAAGGGAGTTTGACCACTGAGGTCCCAATCAGAACGTGTAGGTGTCTGGGGTTACCTGGAAGAAGAGGAGACACCAATAAGAAGCTAATCATAGCAGTTCCTCTTTATGAATTGTCTCGCATTTCTTGATTGACAGGTAACCACATACAACGTCTCTTTAGGACAAGCACCCAAATGGTGGGAGACCTAGCTTTCCCCTGCTTTCTCAATTATAGCTCTCATAGTAACCATAGAACGTGCTGAGGATACGACTACTTTAGTTGAGATGTCTGACCCCTTCAAACCTCACATGGAAATTTCACCCCCACTGTGGGAGGTTGGGCCTCTTGGGAGGTGTTTGGGTCATGGAGGTGGATCCATCATGAACAGAACAATGCTGTCCCAAGGAGACGGGGTTAGCAAGTTCCCCCTCTATTAGTTCCCGGAGAGCTGGTTGTTCAAAAGAGCTTGGAAGCTCCATCGCTCCCCCTCCCCCTTACTCTCTCTCTTGCCGTGTGATCTCTGCGGTCTCTGCACAGACAGACCCTCCTTCCCTTCTGCCAGAGTGGGAGCAGCCTGAGGCCGTCACAAGAAATAGATTCTGGTGCCATGCTTCCAGTACAGCCTGCAGAACGGTGAGGCAAACCGATCTCTTTTCTTTAGAAGTTACCGAGGCTCAAGTTTTCCTTTAGAGCAACAAAAAAAAACTACGACAGCAATGTCCTGAGATCAGGAGGAATGTCTCAGAACAGCCTGGGCTGTCTTCCTGTTCTTCCTGGAGGAAGGCGTCATGCAGTGCTTTAGCTGAGTGCTTCCTGTGGCTCCAGGGTACAAAACCCAGGCTGGGCTGCTTTCTGGCTTCCCCCAGCTACACTGCAAATGGGGTGACTCCATATGTCCCGAGCAGCTTTTCTGAGCCTTGAGGGACTGGCTCACATTGAAATGTAGGCTTCTGTTGTCACTCGCTGCTTATCTGTTAGTAATGAACCTGCCTGTGTAATGTATTCTCTGTGTGTTCTGTCTCCCTGGAGTGACGGTGAGTGATAGGAATTGGCATAGGCCCAGGTGCAGTCCAGGAGGTGTTTAGAGTCTTCTCTGGGAAGACTGCACTGGGATTGATACACAGCGAATGTGCTTTAGGATTTATACATCCACGGCATTCTTGAGTCAAACAACTTGCATTCTCCAAGAAAAGGAAACAAAAGTGAAATCAAGATAAAAAAAGCGAAGTAGAATTCTCTTATGTCAAATGGCCAGGAAATAGTGTTGAAGCCCATGTGAAACGTGCTACTCTTTGTGATCTCAGGAGACACATGTTAGGCTGCTGTTCTACCCCAGAGGCTGGGGGAAGGACCACACCCTCGGCCATCTATTGCTTCAATACCACCTGTCCTCCTGTGAATTAGTAGGAAAGGGGAGCAGGAGCTAGTGCTGACGCTGATCTCTGATTCCAAGATCTGGACTCACTCCAAGGAGTATTAGAATTTACCTCCCCATGGCCTATCTGAATCTCCACAGATGATTGGAAGTAGGGGTGAGGTGGGGGATTTGGGTGAGAGGGCATGTTTTTTTTGTGATGAACAGAGCACTTTGTGTATTCCAGGATCTGTGCTGGAGGATTCAGCGGGCTTTCACATTTTCTATATGATCTCATGCTCACAGAAAGCCAAATAGGGAAGAGGTTTTAGGCTCATTGCCTAATGGATAAGATAAAGGATCAAAGAAGTAATTATAGAGAAATAGAAAAATCATGATTGGAATTCAGGTCCCTTTGTCATTTGCGTGTGTTATATTATATTTATATTTATGCATTTCTTATTTTTATTTTTTGAGACGGAGTCTCCTTGTGTCACCCAGGCTGGAGTGCAGTGATGCAATCTCCACTCACTGCAAACTCCACCTCCTGGGTTGAAGTCATTCTCCTGCTTCATCCTCCAGAGTAGGAGCTGGCATTACAGGGATGCACCACCATGTTCGGCTAATTTTTGTGTTTTTCCTAGAGACAGGGTTTCACCATGTTGGCCAGGCTGGTCTCGAACTGCTGACTTCGTGTGATCCACCCGCCTTGGCCTCCTGCAGTGCTGGGTTACAGGCGTGAGCCACCGTTCACAGACTTGTATATTATGCTATAATAGGTCCCTTCATTTCCACCACCCCTCATATATCTGTCACTCCTTTGCCAGGTATTGATTTATGTGTAGTAGGAATAAAGCTCAGAAAGAAATTAAGCGAGGATTAGACAACTAGGAAAATCATACCCAGCAAGCCTTTCCAGCCAATGATTCCACCTCACAAGCATATCTTATATCCATCTGCTTCACCCAGTTAGGGTCTAAATCAGCACCACATTTCACCAGTGAGGCGGGAATTGCCTTTTCCACAGTCTCCTAGATTCCAGTTACGCACCTGGGCCTCCCTTATTTTCATGTCAGTCACTATTAATCATGTAGGGATTCCTGGCTACCCCGAGGTGAATCCAATGGCTGTGAGTGTCAAACACACACTCCTTGTTCCTCCTTAGTTTCCTGTGTACCCAGTGTGCTCTCCGTCTCTCCACAGTCGTCTTGTCATTCTCCCCATCTCATTCCCAGCATTTGAGGCAGAGCCTCTTCCTTCCACATCAGATTGTTTTCAGCTTTCTGCCTTCACGGCTGACAGCTGTGTGTGGAAAATCCTTCCGCCAATCTTTCAGGGGTTCAATCCGTGTTTTTCATTAATGTCACAAATATCTGATTAGTGAGATCTTCTCTGTCACCCAAAATCATACACTCAGCATTATGTATTATTTATTTTAAATTCTGGCTGGGCACAGTGGCTCACGCCAGTTATCCCAGTACTTTAGGATGCTGAGACGGTCGGATCACTTGAGGTTGGGAGTTTCAGAGAAGCTTGGCGAAGATGGTGAAACATCCTCTACAAAAAATATACAAAAAGAATTAGCCGGGCATGGTGGCAGTTGCCTGTAATCCCAGCTACTCGAGAGGCTGACGCAGGAGAATCACTTGGATCCAGAAGGTGCAGGTTGCAGTGAGCCAAGATGGTGACACTGCACTGTAGCCTGGAAGACAGAGGGAGACTCTGTCTCAATAAACAAACGAAGAAACAAACAAATAGATTTCATACACAGATGCTTCCCAATGGATCATTCATTTATTGGTCCACTTGTGCATTCATTTTCTGCCCTCCCATTTAACCATCTGCAATATCAGTGTCCCAAGGGCAGAGGCCAAATGCATCTTGTTCACTGTTTGTGGAAGGTAGGAGAATGCTGTCCCACCCCAAAATGTCCCTGTCCTAGCCTCCATAGCTTGTGAATATGTTATTTTACATGGAAAGGAGGAATGAAGATTGCAGATGGAATTATGGTTGCTAATCAGCTGAACTTAAAACAAGGGTATCCTGAATGATTTCCTGGAGATTATGATGGATTTTCATCTTGGTGAACCCAATAGAATCCCCAAGTTTTCAAAAGATGAGGAAGAAGGGAGAGCAGCATTCAGATAAAGAGGTGTGGTAAGGAAGAAGGGTCTGAGTGATGCCACGTGAGATGTGACCAGCCTTTGTGGGCTTTGAGGAAGGAGGAAGGGGACCAGGAGCGAAGGAATGTGGGAGCCTCTAGAAGCTGGGACAAGTGAGAAGCAGATTCTTGCCTGGAACCCTCAGAGGGAAGGCAGCCTTGCTGTCGCCTTGATTTTAGCCCAGTGAGATGCACTTCATACTTTGAGCTAGAGCACTGTAAGATAATTAAAAAACCGTTTTGTTTTCACCCACGAATCTTGTGGAAATTTGTTATGGCAACAATAGGAAAAGCTTCCACACTGCACAGCCTGAGCATGGGGCCGTGGCTGAATGAGTCAGTGAGTCGAAGTGTGCGTGCATGAGCTCTGTTCTCTGTTACGGCAAGGCTCTTGCTCTGCTGAGTCAGCCAGGGTTGCTTCATGACCTACAGGAGCTCATTCCTTGGCAAGTGGAACTTCTCTAAAACACCTCGCCCTCATCAGATGTTCCCTTCCCTTCCCTCTCTCAAGTCTCCAGGAATTTATCCTCCAGTTAGGAATGCAGGCAGAACAAACATTGCATTTTTCCTGAGAAGGATGTCAGATTGGCAATCATTCTTCTAGCTTGTAGGAGGTCTCAGCTCCATAAAATGAGAGATGAAGAGATTTCACTGAGCCCTGTGTTGGGCCCAGATCCCTTTCGCTGTTGGAGTATCTGGAGTTCGGAGATGGTGGAAGACAGGGGTACAATGTCAGAGCTGTGAGATGCTGAGTCAACGCCTGAATCCAAGGTTTCCACCTCCCCAGGTTTCCAAAAGCGGATATAAGAGGGTTCTGTACTCACCGGTTTTGGAGCTTGGTTCAGTGGGTGAAGGCCAACTATTTGAAGAGTTTCCTAGAACACGAGACAGGAGAGAGGTGAGGAAATGAGGGTGTCTGTCCTCTACTCAGTGGAAATCTTTGAGGATGGTTCATGGCCAACACTCTGTTATCTAATATTGGGCCCTGGGAGTCCTGGGATCCTTTTTTCCATAATTTTTTTATGTGACACCCACTGTCTTGAGACTTCAAGGTATAAAGAGAAAACAGGAGCATCACACTACCTGATCTCAAAATATGTTACAGAGCTGTAGTAAGCAAAACAGCATGACATTGGCATAAAGAAAGGCACATAGAACAATGGAGCAGAATGAATAACACAGATATATTCCATGCATTTACATCCAATGGTTTTTATTTTTTCTTTTGAGATGGAGTCTTGCTCTGTCACTCAGGCTGGAGTGCAGAGGTGCAATCTCAGTTCACTGCAACCTCAGCCTCCTGGGTTCAATCATTCTCTTGCCTCAAACTCCTGAGTAGTGGTATTACAGGTGCTGACCACCATGCTCAGCTAATTTTTATATTTTTAGTGGAGACGATGTTTCATCATGTCGTCCAGACTGATCTTGAACTCCTGGCCTCAGGTAATCCACCCGCCTCGGCCTCCCAAAGTGCTGAAATTGCAGGTGTTAGCTACCAAGCCCAGCCCATCCAATGGACTTTGACAAAGGTGCCAAGAACTCACAATCAGGAAAGGACAGTCTTTTCAATAAACAGTGCAGGGAAACCTGGACATCGACATGCAGAGGAATGAAACTGCACCTCTACCTGTCACCATACACAAAAATCAAATGAAAATGGATTAAAGATGTGAGTCTAAGGCCTGAACCTATGAAACACGTAGAACAAAATATTGGGGAAATGCTCCAGGACATTTGTCTGAAGAAAGACATTTTGTTTTAAACCTTGAAAACACAAGTAATCGAAGCAAAAATAGACCATTGGGATTACCTCAAACTAAGCAACTTCTGCACTGCTAAAAATAAACCAACAAAGTGAAGAGACAACCCACAGATTGGGAGCAAATATGTGCAAACTATGCATCTGAGATGGGATTAATAACTAGAAATATAAGAAGCTCAAACAACTCAATAAAACAAATGATTTAATTGAAAAAGGAGCAAAAGACATGAAATTTCCCCACATACGAAAAACTGCTCAGTATCACTCATCATCAGAGAAACGCAAATTAAAATCAAAGTGAGTTTTCATCTCACTCCATTAAAATGGCTTTTAGGCCGGGCGAGGTGGCTCACGTCTGTCATCCTAGAATTTTGAGAGCCTGAGGTGGGTGAATCTCATAAGGTCGGGAGTTTGAGACCAGTATGACCCACATAGAGAAACGCTGTCTCTACTAAAAATACAAAAATTAGTAGGGCGTGGTGGCGTGTGCCTGTAATTCCAGCTACTCGGGAGGCTGAGGCAGGAGAATCGCTTGAACCTGGGAGGTGGAGGTTGCGGTGAGCCGAGATCGCACCACTGCACTCAGCCTGGGTGACAAGAGCGAAACTCCATCTCAAAATAAAATGAAATAAAATAAAATGGCTTTTAGCTGCAAGACAGGCAAAAGAAATGCTGGCAAGGTGGTAGAGAAAGGAGAACCCTGGTACCCTGTTGGGAGGAGTGTAAGTTAGTACAGCGATTACGGAGAAAAGTATGGAAGTCCTTTAAAGAACTAAAAAGAGGTTGGGTGTGGTGGATCAGGCCTGTAATCCCGGCACTTTGGGAGACTGAGGCGGGCACCTCAGTTGAGGTCATGAGTTTGAGAGCAGCCCAGCCAACATGGGGAAACCGCATCTATACTAAAAAAACCAAAAAGTAGCCAGGCATGGTGGCGTGCACCTGTAATCCCAGCTACTAGGGAGGCTGAGGCAGGAAAATCATTGGAACCCAGGAGGCGGAGGTTGCAATGAGCCAAGGTCGCACCACTTTGACTCCAGCTTGGGCTAAGGAGGGAAACTCTTTCTCAAAAAAGAAAAAAAAAAAAAAGAGAACTTTCATAGTATCCAGCAATTTCACTACTGGGTTTATATCCAAAGGAAAGTAAATCAATATATCGAAGTGATATCTGCACTCGTATGATTGGTGCAGCACTGTTCACAGTAGCCAAGATGAGGAGTCAACCTACCTGCCCATCAGTGGGTGAATGGATAGAGAGAATGTAGTACATACGCACAGTGGAGACTACTCATCCATAGAAAGAATAACATCCTGTCATTTGCAGCCACATGGATGGAACTGGAGGTCATTACAAAGATTCCCATTTCTCACCCATATACAGGAGCTAAAAGGTGGATCTCATGAAGGTAGAGAGTAGAATGGTGGCTACTGGAGGACAGGAAGAAAAGGGTGGAGGGTAAAAAAAATGTATATATATATATATAAATGTATTTATGACCACTAGACTTTACACTTAAAAATGGTAAATGTGGCTGGGTGCGGTGGCCCATGCCTGTAATCCCAGCACTTTGGGAGGCTGATGCGGGTGGATCATGTGGTCAGGAGTTCGAGACCAGCTCGACCAACATGGTGAAACCACCTCTCTACTAAAAATACAAAAAGTAGCCTGGCATGGTGGTGCGTGCCTGTAGCACCAGCTACTCAGGTGGCTGAGGCAGGAGAATCGCTTGAACCCAGGAGGCGGAGGTTGCAGTGAGCTGAGATTGTGCCAATGCACTCCAGCATAGGGGACAGAGCTAGACTCCACCTCAAAAAAAAATGTTAAAGGTGGTAAGCTATATAGGTATATTTATCCTCAATAAATATTTCTTCAAAGAAAAGTAAAGGGTGTAGGGATTGCTGGTGATGACATCTCTGTGTGGGTGAGAGGCCAGGATGGGCTTCTGGGAAATGGGTAATGTTGAGGGGCTGAGGGAACCTCTGATCTCCCCAAACTGAGCCCAGTCTCCCTCCTCTGGGTCTCTCCTGACCGCTTTCTCCATCTGCCTGGGTGCCTGGAGCCCTGGCCGCGGGCCTCCATGCAGGCCATGTAGGAGGGTTTGGAGGTGCCCTGTCTGCCATCCTGTGCCCTGATCCCTCCCTCACACCGAGGCTGCGTCTTCTCTCTGCATCTGTCCATGCTTCTCTCCATCCTCAGCAGGAAGCTCCTCAGCTAAGGCTCTAGGATCATAGGACATGGGACAGCCATGGGCTTTCCTCACCTGTGACAGAAACAAGCAGTGGGTCACTTGACTTTGACCACTCGTATGGAGAGTCACGGAAAGAGCCGAAGCATCTGTAGGTCCCTCCGTGGGTGGCAGGGTCCAGAGGAAAGTCGGCCTGGAATGTTCCGTTGACCTTGGGCCCTGCAGGGAGCCTACGTTCATGGGCCTCCCCTTCCCTGGATAGATGGTACATGTCATAGGAGCTCCGGGAGCTGCAGGACAAGGTCACGCTCTCTCCTGCCAGAACCGTGGGGCCCGGCTGGGCTGAGAGAGAAGGTTTCTCATATAGACCTGGAAGGAGAAGAGGCAGTTTCCTCAGGGAGGATCTTCCTTGTCACAGCTCCCTTCACCTGAGCTGAGAACTCACTCCCCTGCTCTGTGACCTAATGCTCTCTCTCTCTCTCTCTCACCCTCCACCCCATCTCTCTTCACGTCTATTTCCTCCTTCCACCTTCTCTGTCTCTCTAGGTCTCTGACCTCACTTCCCCACCTCTAGATATGTTTTCTCTTTTTGGATTGTTTTATTCTCTCTGACTCTCCTTGGATTGGTTCACTTGATGTTACTTTTTTTAATTCTGAGTTTCTCACTTTGTGTCCTGTTCATAACTTTCTGCATATTTCTATCTATTATCTATCGATCTATCTATTTATCTATTCCGTGCCTATCTACAAATTCTCTACCTGTCATCTATATCTATATATCATCTATTTATCTATCAATTTTCTATCTATCCATCAATCATCTATTATCTATATCTGTGTATCATCTCTCTCTCTCTATGATTTCTCTATGTCTGCCTCTCTATCTCTATGTATTATCTATCTGTCTTCATCATCATCATCTCTATGTCTCATCTATTAATGAATCAATCAATCATCATCTATGTATCTATAACCTATTATCTATCATCTACCTATTTATCATCTATCTATATCTATCCATCTATCATCTGTCTTGCTCTGCCTCTCGGTCTCTCTAGTTCTCTTTGGAATCTCTGCAATTCATCCCCACATCTCCATCTTTCTATGTCCTTGTGCCTCTCCCTCATGACTCTAATTTTAGTGCTTTTCTCTGCTCCCTTCCATCATTCTCACCACTCCTCTGCCCTCTTTTCTCTCTCTTTATGTGTCTGTGAGTCTCTCAATCTCCTTCCTCTGGCTCATTCTCTGTGTGTTTATGTCTTTGCTTTTTGGTGTTCCTGATTTCTCTCTGTGCCTCTCAGTGATCCTCTCATATGTGGGGTTATTTGGAATGTGAGCCTCAGAATCCAGTCTGGAGACTACAAGTTCACACAGCATACAGGGGTTGGTGTTCTGGGGCCATGATATCCTGGGACGATTACTCTCCATTACCTGGAAGGCAGAGGTGTCAGAATAAACATGGCATCTGTAGGTGCCAGAAGGCCTGAGGCCATAGGTCCCAACTCAGGTCAGAAATATGGGTGTCCTTGGGTTCTCCTGGTAGAGAACACTTTGTGGAGGTAAAACAGAAATGAAACTTCTAACATGTGCCAGGTCTCTGAGCAAAGTCAGCATGGAGGGACACCTCTCTCTGGGACATGTCTGTCTGTCTGTCTCCTTTAACTCCTTCTGTCTTTTCTAACTCTCGGAAAGGCCCCTGTGTGTGTCCTCTGTTATGACACCTGGTCTGTACTTGTGTCTCCTGTTTCTCTGTCTCTGTTGGTACAGACCTCACCAAGTCAGTCTCTCTCCATAAGAATACCAAGCTCATCTTCCTTACAACCACCTGGGCCTCCAAGTCCTGGATCATTCACTCTGCATCCCAATGACAATGAGAAGAATGTCTGGACACTCTCACCTGTGATCACGATGTCCAGAGGGTCACTGGGCGCTGACAACTGATAGGGGGAGTGAGTAACAGAACCGTAGCATCTGTAGGTCCCTGCCAGGTCTTGTGTCATGCGACCGATGGAGAAGTTGCCCTTGGAGACCCCATCAATGTGCTCTCCAATGAGGCGCAAAGTGTGGTTAAACGTCCCCTCTCTGTGCAGAAGGAAGTGCTCAAACATGACATCTGACCAACATTGCAGGATGACTGTCTCTTCTGATTTCACCAGGGGACCTGGGTGGGCCAGGAGGGAAGGTTTTCTGCGGAATCCTAGGAAGAGAGTTTGTGAATTTAGAAGGTGTCTCTCTTTATCATCCCATCCATGGCACTTGGATTGAGTGAGGCTTCCCCTCCCTGGTGTCTGTCTCTCTCCTTCCTCTCTGTGTCTTCATGTTCTTTTCTGTGCCCATAACTCCTGGTGCAGGTCCTTCCATCTGTCTCCCTCCCTCTTCTCTGTCCCTCTGTCTCTAGTAACCTCTGATTCCCTTGCCGCTGGGCTCAGCCTCATCTCTTCGGCTGTTGTATCTATTTTGAACTAATGTCTTTCCTGCTGTATATGTGGGGGTGGAAGAGGAACCAGGATAGGCTGCACATCCAGGCTCTTAGCAGCCTGGTTCAATCTCTTTTGGTCGAATTGGAATCCTTGGCAGGAGGTATGAACTGATCAGTAAGGCAGGCACCAGTGTCCACACACCCTGTTCCTGGTGGGGACTGGGAGCCACTCTTGCCATGCCTGTGCCAGCTTCCATAGGCTGGCTCCTGGTGCTGGTTGGAGGAGTATCAACCGCTCCCTATGTGGATGGAGCCTGGTGGTGGCATCATCATCCCTCACTTGCTGATCTTGGTGTAGCCAACCTTCTCCTTGTTTGGTTTCTTTAATTAATTAATTTTGGAGACAGAGTCTCACTCCTTTGCCCAGGCTGGAGTGAAGTGGTGTGGTCTAGGCTCACTGCAACCTCTGTCTCCTGGGTTCAAGTGATTCTCCTGCCCTCAGCCTCCCAAGTCGCTAGGATTACATGCACCTGCCACCACGCCCGGCTATCCTTGTGTCCTTTCTTAACTTTTCCTCGAGCTGGGTTCCGGTGTTGGTTTCCTGTTGCTGCTGTAGAAAATTATCAGCAGCATGGCAGCAGGAGAGAGCACACTGACCCCTTCCATTTCTGGAGGCAGAAGTCGGGCCCTGTTTTTCCTGGGCTAAAATCAAGCCACCTGTAGGGTTTCGTTCCCTCTGGAGACTCAGGAGAATCAGTTCCTTGACTTTTCCAGCCTCTATAGGCCACCTGCATTCATGGCTCCTGGCCTTCCTCCACCTTCAAAGCTGATGGAGACTCCCATTACGCTGCTCTAATCCCCACTCCCCTCTTCCTCCTCCTTTCCTGTGGACACTTGTCATTACACTGAGCCCAGGGGGACAGTCCAGGCCTTCTCCCCATCTCAAGGTCAACTCATCAACAACCTGAGCTCCATCTTCCCCTTCAGTCCCTTCCCCTATAACATAAATAGTCACAGACTCCAGGGATTAGAATGTAGTCATCACTGGGGACAATTATTCTTCCCACCACAGCACCCATTTCCCTGTATTCAATCCCCCTTTACCCCAAATACAGTCAGGGCCTGCGTGAAGGGACCCTCAAGGACATGCCTACCAGAAGCTCTGGGATTCAGGAGGTGGGACAAGGAGAATCCCAGACAGGAGCCCTCTGACCTGTGACCACGATCACCAGGGGGTTGCTGGGTGCCGACCCCCCACTGGGGGAGTGTGTGTGTGAACCCCGGCATCTATAGGTCCCTGTGTGTGACGGGGTCACAGGGCCCATGAAAAGGCTTTTCCAGAATATTCTGTTGTAGAGCTCAGGGACAGGCACCCCATCATCCTTGTACAGACTGAAGTTGTTAAACCCAAGATTAGAGTGACACCGAAGAGTCACATGTTCTGGAGGCACCACAAGGCTGGGCCAGGTAGAAAGCAAGGGCTTGTCCTGACCACCTTGGGGAGAAGGAGGCGCCGCCTTAGAGAGGAGGATGTGGAGCCGCCCCTCCCTCCCTGTGCTCAGAAGATTCTCCCCACTTTCCACATTTCTATGGCTGCTATCACACCTTGGTGCCTAGGGCTAAAGGAAGGACTCATCCCACAAAGACAAGCTGTCTCCCTACAACAAAAGTGTCAGCTGAGAACTTTGAGCAAGTGCTGAGTAAGAGACTCCTACTAGATTTTAATACTGTAAGATTACTCACATAAAACAACACAGGGTAGACATGGGGTGGAGGGCATGTCCTTTGAGAATGGAATATCAGCAGATGCCTGAATGAAAATAAACAACTGAGCCCCCATCAGAGGATTTGGAATGTCAGGGCCATGGCTGTGGTTTCCCACCTCTTCTGGTAGAATGACAGCAGCCACACTGCAGCCCCTACCGTCATGGAAACGCTGAAGTGTGTGAGTAACACCTTTGTCCTCAGAGGATCTGCTGTTCCTACCACTTTCCCACCACACACCCCAGCTTTGAGCACCCTAGTGTAACCCTGGTCCCCACAGAACTTGACTCTGCCAAGGAAATGAAAGGCCAGGGAGGCAAGGTCGGAACTGTGGGCCAAGCACCCCAGGGTCCCCTCTTTCTAGTTTAAGAGAGACTCCCTGACAGGACTTCCCTCCCGTTTCAGGAAAATCCTCTTATGTGGGGAGATGACACCTTAAGGTTTGGAGAAGGACTTACCCTCATGTGGCCAGGCCCCCTGCAGCAAGAAGAACGCTGGAAAGAAAGATCATGATGGACCATCCATCTGCAGGCAAACCAGGCCTTCCTTGCTATCCCCACTAGGCTGTGAGTCTTGGTAGCCAGGCCCTTCCTGGGCCGAAGGGAAACTCACACTCAGTGCCTACCTGCACCCAAGAACAGGGCTCTCGGCTGTGCAGAGACCCAGCCTCCAGGCCCATATCCCTACCCCAAGCCCATATCTCCACTCCAGGCACATATCTCCACTCCAGGCTGATATTCCCACCCTAGGCCCATATAGCCAATCTGGGCCCACATCTCCAATCCAGGCTCAGATCTCCACCCTAGGCCCATAACTCCAGTCCAGGCCCATATCTCCACTCCAGGCCCATATCTCCTCCCCAGGCCCATATCTCCACTCCAGGCCCATATCTCCACCCCGGGCCCAGATCTCCACCTCCAGGCCCATAACTACACTCCAGGATCATATCTCCACTCCAAGCCCATATCTCCACAACAGGCCCATATCTCCACTCCAGTCCCATATCTCCACCCCACGCCCATATCTCCACTCCAGGCCCATATCTCCATTCCAGGCCCATATCTCCACCCCACGCCCATATCTCCACTCCAGGCACATATCTCCACCCCACGCCCATATCTCCACTCCAGTCCCATATCTCCACTCCAGGCCCATATCTCCACCCCACGCCCATATCTCCACTCCAGTCCCATATCTCCACCCCACGCCCATATCTCCACTCCAGTCCCATATCTCCACCCCATGCCCATATCTGCACTCCAGTCCCATATCTCCACCCCACACCCATATCTCCACTTCAGTCCCATATCTCCACTCAAGGCCCATATCTCCACCCCACGCCCATATCTCCACTCCAGGCCCATATCTCCACTCCAGGCCCATATCTCCACCTCCAGGCCCATATCTCCACTCCAGGCCCATATCTCCATCTCCAGGCTCATATCTCCACTCCAGGCCCATATCTCCACTCCAGGCCCTTATCTCCACCTCCAGGCCCATATCTCCACTCCAGACCCACATCTCCACTCCAGGGCCATATCTCCACTCCAGGTCCATATCTGCACCTCCAGGCCCATATCTCCACTCCAGGCCCATATCTCCACCTCCAGGCCCATAACTTCACTCCAGGCCCATAACTCCACTCCAGGCCCATATCTCTACTCCAGTCCCATATCTCCACTCCAGTCCCATATCTCCACCCTAGGCTCCTACCTCCCATCCAGGTTCCTATCTCTTCTCCAGGTTCCTCTCTCCACTCCAGGCCCATATCTCCACTGCAGGCCCATATCTCCACTCCAGACCCAGATCTCCACTTCTAGGCCCATCACTCCATCTCTAGGCCCATATATCCCCTCCAGGCCCAGATCTCCACTCCAGGCCCATAACTCCACCTCCAGGCCTATATCTCCACCTCTGGGACCAGATCTCCATCCCCGCGCTCCCTCCCTCTATTCCCTTCCAGGACTCACCAACACACGCCATGCTGATGACCATGAGTGACATGGTGGTGCCGGAGCAGACAGGCGGCCGCACCCCTAGCTCAGCTCAGCAGCGCACAGGATGTTATTTGGCGCCCTGCCCATGCAGTTTACATGTTGACCACATCATGGGAGGGTGAAGTACGCAGGCTCTTTCTACCTTTCATGAGGCCCAGTGGGTGCTCGCTCAAGAGCAGAACACGGCTTCCTGGAAATTGTTCTCACTAGAATTGACACCTCGTGTCCTTCACTATGACCAACTCAAAACACGTCTCAGATCCAACCTCCGGAACACAGGATGCCTAAAATCTCTGCTAACGTGAAAAACTTTTCATGTATTTTTATTGTTTTTATCTGAGATTCAAACTCTTCTTCATGTGTAATATGCAAAATATCTAATAGGTATTATTAATGTTTTCGGAGTCATTGTGACTAATAAACCATTAGAATTTTTCATGCTTGTATTTCTAGTATTACAGCAAAACCAGTTAAAATGATTTAAATTCCCAGGAAAGGATTATGCAATTATTTACAATCTTCGAATTGTACTTTATCAGCAAAAACCACACATGTAAATTCTGGATTTTTATAGTTTTATCTATAATTTGTCTCATGACCCAAGATTCCAGAGTCCCACCTCTGGAGTTTGCTCCCTCTCTGTCTCTGTCCCTCCCTCATTTTAAATTTTACGGAAATATCCAGTAACATAATGCTATAGAAAATCAAGTTTCCCCCAGCATGTTTGGAAGCCGAGGTGGGCGAATCAACTGAGATGAGGAGTTTGAGAGCAGCCTGGCCAACATAGTGAAACCGTGTCTCTGCTAAACATTCAAAAATTAGCCGTGCCTGGTGGCAGACACCTGTAATGCCATCTACTCAAGAGGCTGAGGCACGAGAATCGCTTGAACCTGGGAGGCGGAGTTTGCAGTGAGCTGAGATTGCACTACTACAGTCCAGCCTGGGTGACAGAGCAAGATTCCGCCTTAAGAAAAAAAAAATAGCAAGTAGCCTATAATAACAAATTAGAGGGCTCTGGCTACTAAATTTAAAGGGTTTTATAAGGCTACATGAAGTGCAGCATCCTCAAGAGTGTGGACACAGAGAGCCCCTTAGCAGAAACAGTGTCTAAAATACATCCGTGTACACACAGTCCCTTTAGAGTTGACAAAGGCTGCCCTGTGGTTTAAGGTGGCATAGAATGTCTTCTCAATAAATAATATTAAACCAAAGGGTTACACGTAGGAAAAAATAAATCTAAACTTATTCTCACACTATAAAAACACTTCTTGTTTTTATCTAGTTTATAATTTTTTTATGATTTATATTTAAAATTTAGAAATAACAGTTTTATACGGTCATCCTTCACTATTCCTGGGTGATTGGTTTCAGGATCTCCACTCAGATACCAAAATCTGCAGATGCTGAAGCCTCTTACATGAAATGGCACAGCGCTTGCATATAACCCATGCACATCCTCCTGTATACATGAAATCATCTCTAGATTACTTATAATTCCTGATATGGCCTACACACTGCTTCATTTGTGTCCCTTCAACATAGTTTTGCTTTTTGAAAGTTTGTGGATTTTCTTCTCTGAATATTTTTTATTTATAGTTGGTTCAATAAACACCTGTAAACCCCACAGATACGGAGGAGCGACTGTATATATATATATAGCATGAAAGATGATGTGTTGATATGTGTCCCCATGGAGATGAGACTAACAAGGCCTATGACTCTACAAATGTTTCATCGTGGAATGACTCTGCCAGCTTTCCAGGTCTGCAGAGAGTAAGAATATCACTTGTTCATGTGATTCATGATCCTTGGAACCTCCTATGTGCTGCATCTTTGGATGGAAATTGGAGTCCCAGAGACAAATGAGGCTCCACCCTGCTTCCAGAAGCTCAGAGTCCAGGGGAGAGAACCCAGTGGATAACAGATGGGGTTATGTGGACATGGTAATGATAACAGCGGTTTCTTTCAGCGAATAGTGTCACATTACCTAAAGCAATGAGGGCAGACATGTTTATTTGAAAAGGAGACAGCTACATTGAAATCACAAAAAATTTTATAAGTTTCACTGCTGACTGACAGAAGGCTGGAAAATAGTCTGAGGAAAGGTGAAACAGCATGAGGGAAGGTGGAACAGCACGTGTCTCAGTGCCATGTTAAGAGGGAGCCTCTTGTATGTCTGGAATTGTGAGTTCCTCAGTGTGATTGCAGCCTCAAGTAGACTAGGAAGTAAGCCAGTTCAGTTGGAGAGGTGGGCAGGGGTCAAGTGAAATAGAGAATTGTGGGCTAAGCAAAGGAGTGTGTCTTCTCTCCAGCAGGCAGTGGGGACCTTAGACATTTGTAAGCAAGAGAGAGGCATGTTCAGATTTGTGGTGTGAGGAAGAGCGATCCCCTAAGATGAAGACTGATGCCTTCAGATTCCAGCTGCTGGTACATGGGAGCTAGCAACCCGGTTTTGAGACAGGGCTGTTGTCTCCCTAGAAGATCCCCTCAAGGCCTGACTGTGGTGCTTATGGGCAGGAGACAATGATCTTGGCTTAGCATTTGGAAGTTCCATGTACATGGTGGTATCTGTTGGAGGTGTCTTGGGCCTCTGAGAAGGGGAAGTGATTTTTGTCTGTGTGAAAACGCAGTGATCCAACTGTGCATATGTCACCTCCTGAGGGTCTTGATCATCAGAGTCCTGGAGAGAGGGAAATGCTGAGTGAGGGAGGGTGCTCACATTCTTCAAGACTATTAGGGAATGAGACTCAATCCATGAGGCTGGGCTGAGGAGAACCTACCTCCCTGTTCACTGTTCTGTCCCCGGCAGGCTCTTGGTCCATTACAGCAGCATCTGTAGGAGATAGAAGTCATCAAAACAGCTGGAAGGGCACTTTTGGGTCCTCATTTCATGAGCAGACACCAACACACAGCGGGAGGCCGTAGGTGCCTGAGGTCCCTCAGCTGTCATCAGCCAGACCCAGACATTCTATCTCTCTGAGCTCAAGGACCCATCCCATGAATAGCTCTGAGTTCCCATCCCAGTGATTCTGTCTCCCCTTTCTGCCTGTCATGGAACCTTCTCCTGGATGTCAGTGGCTGCAGGGGACGTGAGGATACAGTTCAGAATCAGGCAATGGTCTGTGAGCTGAAGGCAGGGGCAGGGTGTCTGGTGCTCTCTCTAGAAAGCCCTGCCTCTGTGGCTCCTGCCTTGGTCCAGGGACCATCCTGCCAGTCAGGAACACACACCAGTGTGCTCCCATCCTGCTTCCCCACATGGTCCTGAGCTCTCTGACCTCTGCTTCGTGAGACTTACTCTTTTTGTTGGAGCAGCAGCAATGAAGGAGAAAGAAGAAGAGGATGATGAAGAGGATGATAGCCACTGAGGTCCCAATCAGAATGTGCAGGTGTCTGCGGATACCTGGGGGAAGGTGGGAATCCAATAAGAAGCTAATTATAGCAGTTCCTCTTTATGGATTGTCTCTCATTTCTTGGTTGCCAGCTAAGCACATACAACATCTGTTTAGGACAAGTTCCCCGATGGCAGGATACCCAGCTTTCTCCTGCTTTCTCAGTTATAGTTCTCAAAATAATCAGAGAACATGCTGGGGATACCACTGCTATAGTTTGGATGTTTGACCCCGCCAAACCTCACGTTGACACTTATCTCGCAGTGTGGGAGGCTGGGCCTATTGAGAGACGTTCCAGTTATGGGGGTGGATCCATCATGAATACATTAATGCTGTCCCCATGAGACGTGGTTGGCAAGTTCTCCATGAGGTCCCTAGGACTGGTTGCTAAAAAGAGCATGGGGTTTCTCCATGTTGGCCAGGCTGGTCTCAAACTCCTGACCTCAAGTGATCCAAACGCCTTGGCCTCCCAAAGTGTTGGGTTACAGGCGTAAGCTCCCATTCACAGACTTGTATATTATGCTATAATAAGTCCCTTCATTTGCACCACCCCTCATCTATCTATCAATCACTCCTCTGCCAGATATTGATTTACATGTAGGAAAAATAAATCTCAGAAAGAAATTAATATATTCAAAATTAAATAAGTAGGCATTATCAAATCCAGCAAGCCCTCCCTACAAATGATTCTACCTCACAGACATATCTTATACCCATCTACTTCATTCATTTAGTGTCTAAATCAGCACCACATTTCACCAGTGGGGCGGGAATTGCCTTTTCCACGGTCTCCTAGATTCCAGTTACGCACTTGGGCGTCCTTATTTTCATGTCAGTCATATTAATCATGTAGGGATTCCTGGCTACCCCGAGGTGAATCCAATGGCTGTGAGTGTCAAACACACGCTCCTTGTTCCTCCTTAGTTTCCTGTGTACCCAGAGTGCTCTCCGTCTCTCCACAGTCGTCTTGTCATTCTCCCCACGTCATTCCCAGCATTTGAATGCAGAGCCTCTTCCTTCCACATCAGATTGTTTTCACATTTGTGCCTTCACGGCTGACAGCTGTGTGTGGAAAATCCTTCCGCCAATCTTCCAGGGGTTGAATCTACTTTTTTTTTTCATTATGGTCACAAATATTATCTGATTAGTGAGACTTTCTCTGTCTCCTGAAATTATACACTTAGAATTCTTTATTATTTATTTTAAATTTCGGCTGGGCGCAGTGTCTCACACCTTGAGTCCCAGCATTTTGGGATGCTGAGACGGTCGGATCACTTGAGGTTGGGAGTTGGAGACAATCTGCGCAACATGGTGAAACTCCATCTCTACTAAAAAATATAAAAGAATATTAGCTGGGTGTGGTGGAGGGGACTGGAATCACAACTAGTCAGGAGGCTGAGGCAGGAGAATCGCCTGAACCCGGGAGGCGGAGGTTGTGGTGAGCTGAGGTCATGCCACTGCACTCCAGCCCGGGGACAGAGAATGACTTCGCCGCAAATAAATAAATACATAAATAGATAAATAGATAAATAAATAGGTAAATAGATTTCATGCACGGATGCTTCCCAATGGATCAATCATTACTGGTCCACTTGTGCATTCATATTCTGCCCTCCCATTTGCCCATCTGCAATGTCAGTGTCCTAAGAGCAGAGGCCAAATGCATCGTGTTTACCATTTGTGGAAGGCAGGAGAATGCTGGCCCACCCCCAAAATGTCCCTGTCCTAGCCTCCATAGCTTGTGAATATGTTATTTTACATGAAAGGAGGAATAAAGATTGCAGATGGAATTATGGTTGCTAATCAGCTGAACTTAAAAAGAGGTTATCTTGGGTGATTTTAGGGAGATTGTGATGGATTATCTTGGTAAACTCAATAGAATCCCAAAGTCTTTAAAAGAGGAAGAAAAAGTCAGAGCAACACTTAGAGAAAGAGGTGAGGTAAGGAAGAGGGATCTGAGTGATGCCACGTGAGAGATGTGATGAGCTTTTGTGGGCTTCGAGGAAGGAGGATGGGGACCAGATGCCAAGGAACGTGGGAACCTCTGGGAGCTGGGAAATGTGAAAAGCCGATTCTCGCCTGGAACCTTCAGAGAAAAGGCAGCCTCGCAGTCACCTTGATTTTAGCCCAGTGAAATGCATTTCATATTTCTGAGCTATAACACTGTAAGATAATTTTAAAAGCTGTGTTGTTGTCATCCATGAAGTTTGTGGAGATTTATTATGGCAACAGCAGGAAAGGGTTCCACACTGTACAGTCAGAGCACAGGGCAGTGGCTGAATAAGTGAGTAAGTGGAAGTGTCATATTTGTGGATGAACTACGTTCCTTCTTACTGCAAGGCTCTTGCTCTGCTGACTCAGCCAAGGTCGCATCATGACCAACAGGGGCTCATTCCTTGGCAAGTGGAACTTCTCTAAATCACCTTTCCCTCATCAGATGTTCCCTTCCCCTCCCTCTCTCAAGTCCCCTCAAATTTATCCTCCAATTTGGAATGCAGGCAGAAAAAACACCACTTTATCCCTGAGAAGGATGTCAGATTTGTACTCGTCCGTCTAGCTTGGAGGAGGTCTCAGCTGCAGAAATTTGAAATGAAGAGACTTCACTGAGCCCTTTGCTGTCCTCAGATACCCTTCGCTGTTGTAGTGTCTGGGGGTCAGAGATGTTAGAAGACAGGCCCACAATCACAGAGCTGGGAGGTGCTGAGCCAATGCTTGAATCCAAGATACCAACCTCCCCAGGTTTCCAAAAGCAGAGATAAGAGGGATCTTTACTCACCAGTTTTGGAGCTTGGTTCAGTGGGTGAAGATGAACTACTTGAAGAGTTTCCTAGAACACAGGACAGGAGAGAGGTGAGGAAATGAGGATGCCTGTCTTCTACTCAAAGGAAATCTTTGAGGTTGGTTCATGGCCAACACTCTGTTATCTAATGTTGGGCCCTAGGAGTCCTGGCGTCCCCTTCTCCATCATCATTGTTAAATGATGCCCAGTGTCCTGAGATTTCGAGGTATAAAGACAAAACAGGTGCTGGAGGCCTCACACTCCCTGACTTAAAAATATGTTACAAAGCTGTAGTAAGCACAACAGCATGACATTGGCATAAAGGCCCTTAGAGCAATGGAGCAGAATGAAGAACACAGATATAATTCATGCATTCACATCCAATGGACTTTGACGATTGTACGTGCCAAGAACCTGCAATCAGGAAACGACGGTCTTTTCAATAAATGGAGCAGGGAAAACTGGTATCTACATGCAGTTGATGAAACTGCACCTCTACCTCTCACCATACACAGAAATCAAATGAAAATGGAAGAAACACTTAAGGCCTGAAACCATTAAGCGTCTAAAAGGAAAGAGTGGGGAAATGCTCCAGGACATTTGTCTGAGGAAAGACATTTTATTTGAAATCTCAAAAACACAAGAAATCAAAACAAAATAATAGACCTTCGGGATTACATCAAAGTAAGCAGCTTCTGCACCGCAAAGGAAGCAACCAACAAAGTGAAGAAGAGACAAATTGGGAGAAAATATTTGTGAAGTATGCATCTGAGAGGGGATTAATAACTAGAATATACATAAAACTCAAGCAACGGTATAAAACAATGAATTTAATTTAACAATTAGTAAAAGACCTGAACAGACATTTCTCAACAAACAAAACGTACAAATGGCGAACATGTACATGAAAAAGTGCTCAGTATCACTAATCATGCCAATTGAAATCACAGTGAGCTATCATCTCATCCCATTAAAGTGGCTTTTATCTGAAACACAGACAAAATAAATGCTGGCAAGGTGGTAGAGAAAGGAGAACCCTGGTACCCTGTTGATAGGATCTAGCAATTCCACTACTGGGTGTAAACCCAAAGGGAAGGACATCAGTGTATCGAAGTGATATCTGCACTCATACGATTGGTGCAGCACTGTTCACAGTAGCCAAGATGTGGAGTCAACTTACCTGCCCGTCAGTGGGTGAATGGATAGAGAGAATGTAGTACACACACACAGTGGAGAGTACTCATCCGTAGAAAGAATAACATCCTGACATTTGCAGCCACATGGATGGAACTGGAGGTCATTGCAAAGATTCCCATTTCTCACCCATATACAGGAGCTAAAAGGTGGATCTCATGAAGGTAGAGAGTAGAATGGTGGCTACCAGAGGGCAGGAAGTAAAGGGTGGAGTGTAACAACAACAATAAAAAAGAATATAGATGTATTTATTTATTTAGAGACAGAATCTCTCTCTGTCTCCCAGGCTGCAGTGCAGTGGCCTGATCTCAGCTCAGTGCAACCTCTGCCTCCTGGGCTTACGTACTTCTCCTGCCTCAGCCTCCCATGTAGCTAGGAATACAGGTGCATGCCAGCATGCCCAGCCAATTTTTCTTGTCTGTTTAGTAAAGATGAATTTCCCTCATGTTGGCCAGGCTGATCTCGAGCCTCTGATCTTAAATGATCCACCTTCCTTGGCCTCTCAAAGCACCGAGATTATAACTGTGAGCCACTGCACCCTGCATATAAAGGAATTTATGACCACTAGATTTTACTTTTAAAAATGGTAAAGGTGGCAAATTATATAGTTACATTTAACCTAAATAAATGTTTTTTCAAACGGAAAGAAAAGGGTGTAGGGGTTGCTGGTGATGACATCTCTGTGTGGGTGAGAGGCCAGTATGGGCTTCTGGGAAATGGGTAAGGTTTAGGGTCTGAGGGAGCCTCTGATCTCCCCAAACTGAGCCGAGTCTCCCTCCTCTGGGTCTGTCCTGACCACTTTCTCCATCTGCCTGGGTGCCTGGAGCCCTGGCCGCGGGCCTCCATGCAGGCCGTGCAGGAGGGTTTGGAGGTGCCCTGTCTGCCATCCTGTGCCCTGATCCCTCCCTCACACCATGCTGCGTGTTCTCTCTGCATCTGTCCATGCTTCTCTCCATCATCAGCAGGAAGCTCCTCAGCTAAGGCTCTAGGATCACAGGACATGGGACAGGCATGGGCTTTCCTCACCTGTGACAGAAACAAGCAGTGGGTCACTCGGGTCTGACCACTCATAGGGTGAGTCATGGAGAGAGCCGAAGCATGTGTAGGTCCCTCCGTGGGTGGCAGGGCCCAGAGGAAAGTCAGCCTGGAATGTTCCATTGACGCTGGGCACTGCAGGGAGCCTAGGTTCATGGGCCCTCCCCTCCCTGGATAGATGGTACATGTCAAATGAGCTCCTGGAGCTGCAGGACAAGGTCACGTTCTCTCCTGTGCGAACCGTGGGGCCCGGCTGGGCTGAGAGTGAAGGTTTCCCAAATAGACCTGGAAGAAGAGGCAGTTTCCTCAGGGAGGTTCTTCCTTGTCACAGCTCCCCTCACACCTGAGCTGAGAACTCACTCCCCTGCTCTATGACCTAATGCTCTCTCTCTCTCTCACCCTCCACCCCCGACTCTCCCTGTGGATCCCTCCCTATGCGGCTCCAGCCTGGTGGTGGCATCAGCAGTGCACCCTTGCTGACCTTAGGGTAGCCAACCCTCTTGTTTGGTTTTTTAACTTGTCCTTGACCTGGATTCCTGTGTTGTTTCCTGTTGTTGCTGCAGAAAATTATCACAAACACGGCGGCGGGAGAGAACACTTCTGTTGACAGAAATCAGACCCTGTTCTTCCTGGGCTACAATCAAGGCATCTGCAGGGCTGCATTCCCTCTGGAGACTCGGGAGAATCAGTTCCATTGACTTCTCCAGCCCCTAAAGGCCACCTGCATTCCGTGGCTTCTGGCCTTCCTCCACTTTCAAAGCCCGCAGTGGCTGGTGGACTCTCCCTCCCACTACGCTGCTCTAATCCCCACTCTCCTCTTCCTCCTCCTCTCATGTGGACCCTTGTGATTACACTGAGCCCAGTGGGAGAGTCCAGGTCGTCTCCCCATCTCAAGGTCAACTCATCAACAACCTGAACTCCATCTTCCCCTTCAGTCCCATGTCCTATAACATAAATAGTCACAGGCTCCAAGGATTACAATATAGCCATGCTGCCGACAGTTACTCTTTCCACCACAGCACCCATTCCCCTGTATTCAATCCCCATTGACACCAAATACAGTCAGGGCCTGGATGATTGGACCCTGGTGGACACCCCCACCAGATGCTCTGGGATTCAGGAAGTGGGAGAAGGAGAAGCCCAGACATGAGTCCTCTGACCTGTGACCACGATCACCAGGGGGTTGCTGGGTGCTGACCACTCAATGGGGGAGCGTGGGTGTGAACCCCGACATCTGTAGGTCCCTGCGTGTGCAGGGGTCACAGGGCCCATGAGGATGCTCTTCCAGAATATTTTGTTGTAGAGCTCAGGGACAGGCACCCCATCTTCTTTGTACAGACTGAAGATGGTAAACCCAAGACGAGAGCGACACAGAAGAGTCACATGTCCTCCTCGAGGCACCACAGCGCTGGGCCAGGCAGACAGCAAGGGCTTGTCCTGACCACCTGGGGGAGAAGGAGGCGCCACCTTAGAAAGGAGGATGTGGAGCCGCCCCTCCCTGCCAGTGCTCAGAAGATTCTCCCCACTTTCCTCGTTTCTAAGGCTCCTACCACACTTGGGTGCCCATGGCTACGGGAAGGACCCACCCCGCATAGACTTGGCGTCTCTCTACAACAAAAGTGTCAGCTGAGAACTTTGAGCAAGTGCTGAGTAAGGGACTCCTACTAGATTTTAATCCTGCAAGATTACTCACATAAAACAACACAAATAGACATGGAGTCGAGGGCATGTTCTTTGTGAATGGAATATCAGCCAATGTGTGAACCACAATACACAACTGAGCCCCCAACAGAGGATTTGGAAGGTCAGGGCCCTGGCTGGGGTTCCCCCACCTCTGAGGTAGAATGACAGCAGCCACACTGCAGCCCCTACCGTCATGGAAACGCTGGAGGGTGTGAGTTACACCTTTGTCCTCAGAGGCCTGCTGTTCCTAGCACTGCTTTGCTCCCTTCCTCTGCCAGTGACACCACATCCCAGTCGCACAGCCCAGCTTGGAGGACCCCAGTCTACCCTCCCGGGTTCCCACAGAACCTGACTCAGCCAAGGGAAAGGAAGGCTGGGGAGGGCAAGGTCGGAACTGTGGGCTGAGCACCCCAGGGTCTCCTCATCCTTGTTTATAAGAAAATCCCCCACCGGGCTTCCCTCCTGTTTCAGGAAAATCCTCTTATGTGGGGAGATGACACCCGAAGGTTTGGAGAAGGACTCACCCTCATGTGTCCAGGCCCCCTGCAGCAAGAAGAACCCTGGAAAGAAAGATCATGATGGACCATCCATCTGCAGGCAAACCAGGACTCCCTTGCTGCCCCCACTGGGCTGTGAGTCTTGGTAGCCAGGCCCTTGCTGGGCTGAAGGGAAACTCACCCTCAGTGCCAGCCTGCACCCAAGAACAGGGCTGTCGGCTGTGTAGAGACCCAGCCTGCAGGCCCATATCCGCACCCCAGGCCCCTATCCCCACCCCAAGCCCATATCTCCACTCCAGGCCCATATCTCCACTCCAGGCCAATATTTCCACCCTAGACCCATATCTCCAATCCAGGCCCATATCTCCACCCCAAGCCCATATCTCCACACCCAGGCCCATATCTCCATCCTAGGCCCATATGTCCACTCCAGGCCCAGATATCCACCTCTAGGCCCATGTCTCCACCTCCAGGCCCATATCTCCACCTCCAGGCCCATGTCTCCACTCCAGGCCCATATCTCCATCCCAGGCCAATATCTTCACTCCAGGCTCATATCTCCCCTCCAGGTTCCTATCTCCACTCCAGGCCCAGATCTCCACTCCAGGCCCATATCTCCACCTCCAGGCCCATATCTCCACTCCAGACCCAGATCTCCACTTCTAGGCCCATCACTCCATCTCCAGGCCCATATATCCACTCCAGGCCCAGATCTCCACTCCAGGCCCATAACTCCACCTCCAGGCCTATATCTCCACCTCTGGGCCCAGATCTCCATCCCCGCGCTCCCTCCCTCTATTCCTTTCCAGGACTCACCAACACACGCCATGCTGACGACCATGAGCGACATGGTGCTGCCGGTGCAGACAGGCAGCCGCGCCCCAGCTCAGCTCAGCAGCGCACAGGATGTTATTTGGCGCCCTGCCCATGCAGCTTACATGTTGACTACATCATGGGAGGGTGACGTACGCAGGCTCTTTCTACCTTGCATGAGGCCCAGTGGATGCTTGCTCAAGAGCGGAACACGGCTTCCTGGAAATTGTTCTCACTAGAATTGGCACCTCACGTCCTTCACTATGACCAACTCACAACACGTCTCAGATCCAACCTCCCGAACACAAGATGCCTAAAATCTGTGCTAACGTGAAAGACTTTTCATGTATTTTTATCCGAACACGAGATGCCTAAAATCTGTGCTAACATGAAAGACTTTTCATGTATTTTTTTTGTTTTTATCTGAGATTCAAACTCTTCTTCCTGTGTAATATGCAAAGTATCTAATAGGTATTATTAATGTTTTCGGAGTCATTGTGACTAATAAACCATTAGAATTTTTCATGCTTGTATTTCTAGTATTACAGCAGAACCAGCTAAAATGATTTAAATTCCCAGGGAAGGATTATGCAATTATTTACAATCTTAGAATTGTACTTTATCAGCAAAAACCACACCTGTAAATTCTGGAGTTTTGTAGTTTAATCTAAAATTTGTCTCATGACCCAAGATTCCAGAGTCCCAACTCTGGAGTTTGCTCTCTGTCTGTCTCTCTCCCTCCCTCGTTTTAAATTTTACAGAAATATCCAGTAACATAATGCTATAGAAAATCAAGTTTTCCCCAGCACGTTGGGAAGCCGAGGTGGGCGGATCAACTGAGATAAGGAGTTTGAGAGCAGCTTGGCCAATATAGTGAAACCGTGTCTCTGTTAAAAATCCAAAAATTAGCCGTGCCTGGTGGCAGGCACCTGTAACGCCAGCTGCTCAAGAGGCTGAGGCACGAGAATCGCTTGAACCTGGGAGGCGGAGGTTGCAGTGAGCTGAGATTGTGTCACTGCAGTCCAGCCTGGGCGACAGAGCAAGACTCCGCCTCAAGAAAAAAAAAGCAAACAGCCTATAATAACAAATTAGAGGGCTCTGGCTACTAAATTTAAAGGGTTCTATAAGGCTACATAAAGTGCAGCATCATCAAGAGTGTGGACACAGAGAGCCCCTTAGCAGAAACAGTGTCTAAAATACATCCATGTACACACAGTCCCTTTAGAGTTGACAAAGGCTGCCGTGTGGTTTAAGGTGGCATAGAATGTCTTCTCAATAAATAATATTAAACCAATTGGTTACACCTAGGAAAAAATAAATCTAACTCACACTATAAAAACACTTCTTAGTTTTTATCTAGTTGTACATTTTTTATGATTTATATTTAAATTTGAGAAATAAAAGTCATATACGGTCATCCTTCACTATTCGTGGGTGATTGGTTTTGAGATCTCCACTCAGATACCAAAATCTGTAGATGCTCAAGCCTCTTATATGAAATGGCACAGAGTTTGCAAATAACCTATGCACATCCTCCTGTATACATGAAATCATCTCTAGATTACTTATAATTCCTGATACAGCCTACACACAGCTTCATTTGTGTCCATTCAACATAGTTATGCTTTTTGAAACTCTGTGGATACTTTCTCTCAATATTTTTGATTTATACTTGGTTCAATAAACACCTGTAAACCCCGCAGATATGGAGGAGTGACCGTATATTTATATTATGAAAGATGATGTGTTGATATGTGTCCCCATGGAGATGAGACTAACAAGGCCTATGATTCTACAAATGTTTCATTGTGGAATGACTCTGCCAGCTTTCCAGGTCTGCAGAGAGTAAGAGTATCACTTGTTCATATGATTCGTGATCCTTGGAACCTCCTATGTGCTACATCTTTGGATGGAAATTGGAGTCTCAGAGACAAATGAGGCTCCACCCTGCTTCCAGAAACTCAGAGTCCGGGGATGAGAACTCAGTGGGGAACAGATGGGATTATATGGACATGGTACTGATAACACCGGAAGCCTTAGGCAAGAAAAGAGTCCCATTACCGAAACCATGGGGGCAGACATGTTTATTTGAAGGATGGAAAACTACATTGAAGTTATTTTAAAAAATATATAAGTTTTACTGCTGACAGAAGACTGAAAGCTAGTCTGAGGGGAGGTGGAACAGCATGAGGGAAGGTGGAACAACACGTGTCTAAGTGCTGCGTTAAGAGGGAGCCTCTTGTATGTTTGGAATTGTGAGTTCCTCAGTGTGATTGCAGCCTCAAGTAGACTAGGAAGTAAGCCAGTTAGGTTGGAGAGGTGGGCAGGGGTCAAGTGAAATGGAGAACTGTGGGCTAAGCAAAGGAGTGTGTTTTTTCTCCAGCAGGCAGTGGGGACCTTAGACATTTGTAAGCAAGTGAGAGGCACATTCAGATTTGTGGTGTGAGGAAGAGCGATGCCCTAAGATGCAGACTCATGCCTTCAGATTCCAGCTGCTGGTACATGGGAGCTGGCAACCCGGTTTTGAGACAGGGCTGTTGTCTCCCTAGAAGACGCCCTCAAGGCCTGACTGTGGTGCTCATGGGCAGGAGACAACTTTGGATCTGGACTCAGCATTTGGAAGTTCCGCGTACACGATGATATCTGTTGGGGGTGTCTTGGGCCTCTGAGAAGGGCGAGTGATTTTTCTCTGTGTGAAAACGCAGTGATTCAACTGTGTGTATGTCACCTCCTGAGGGTCTTGTTCATCAGAGTCCTGGAGAGAGGGAAATGCTGAGTGAGGGAGGGTGCTCACATTTTCCAGGACTCTTTGGGAATAACAGTAGCCACGAGCCCGGGCCGAGGAGTACCTACCTCGCTATTCGCTGTTCTGTTCCCTGCAGACTCTTGGTCCATTACCGCAGCATCTGTAGGAGACGGAAGTCAACAAAACAGCTCGGAGGGCACTTCTGGGTCCTCATTTCATAAGCAGATACCAACATACAGGGGGAGACCATAGGTGGCTGAGGTCCCTCAGTTGCCAACAGCAGACTCAGACATTCTATCTCTCTGAGCTCAAGGACCCATCCCATGAATAGCTCTGAGTTCCCATCCCATTGATTCTGTCTCCCACTTTCTGCCTGTCATGGAACCTTCTCCTGGATGTGAGTGGCTGCAGGGGACATGAGGATACAGTTCAGAATCAGGCAACGGTCTGTGAGTTGAAGGCAGGGGCAGGGAGTCTGGTGCCCTCTCTAGAAAGTCCTGCCTCTGTGGCTGCTGCCTTGGGCCAGGGACCATCCTGTTTGTGAGGAACACACACCTGAGTGCTCCCATCCTGCTTCCCCACATGGCCCTGAGCTCTCTGGCCTCTGCTTCGTGAGACTTACTTTTTTTGTTGGAGCACCAGCGATGAAGGAGAAAGAAGAGGAGGATGAAGAGGATGATGACCACTGAGGTCCCAATCAGAATGTGCAGGTGTCGGGGGTTACCTGGAAGAAGATGAGACACCAATAAGAAGCTAATCTTAGCAGTTCCTCTTTATGAATTGTCTCGCATTTCTTGATTGACAGGTAACCACATAAAACATCTCTTTAGGACAAGCACCCAGATGGCAGGAGACCCAGCTTTCTCCTGCTTTTTCAGTTATAGCTCTCATAGTAACCATAGAACGTGCTGAGGATACGACTACTTTAGTTGAGATGTTTGACCCCTTCAAACCTCACATTGAAATTTCACCCCCACTGTGGGAGGTTGGGCCTCTTGAGAGGTGTTTGGGTCATGGAGGTGGATCCATCATGAACACATCAATGCTGTCCCAAGGAGACGGGGTTAGCAAGTTCCCCCTCTATTAGTTCCCGGAGAGCTGGTTGTTAAAAAGAGCTTGGAAGCTCCATCACTCCCCCTCCCCCTTGCTCCCTCTCTTGCCGTGTGATCTCTGTGGTCTCTGCACAGACAGACCCTCCTTCCCTTCTGCCAGAGTGGGAGCAGCCTGAGGCCGTCACGAGAAATAGATGCTGGTGCCATGCTTCCAGTACAGCCTGCAGAACGGTGAGGCAAACCAATCTCTTTTCTTTAGAAGTTACCGAGGCTCAAGTGTTCCTTTAGAGCAACAAAAATGGCCTAAGACAGCAACTTCCTGAGATCAGGAGGAACGTCTCAGAACACCCTGGGCTGTCTTCCTGTTCTTCCTGGAGGACGTCATGCAGTGCTTTAGCTGAGTGCTTCCTGTGGCTCCAGGGTACAAAACCCAGGCTGGGCTGCTTTCTGGCTTCCCGCAGCTACACTGCAAATGGGGTGACTCCATATGTCCCGAGGAGCTTTTCTGAGCCTTGAGGGACTGGCTCACATTGAAATATAGGTTTCTGTTGTCACTCGCTGCTTATCTGTTAGTAATGAACCTGCCTATGTAACGTATTCTCTGTGTGTTCTGTCTCCCTGGAGTGACGGTGAGTGATAGGAATTGGCATAGGCCCAGGTGCAGTCCAGGAGGTGTTTAGAGTCTTCTCTGGGAAGACTGGACTGGGATTGATTCACAGCGAATGTGCTTTAGGGTTTCTACATCCACAGCATTCTTGAATCAAACAACTTGCATTCTCCAAGGAAAGAAAACAAAAGTGAAATCAAGATAAAAAAAGCGAAATAGAATTCTCTTATGTCAAACGGCCAGGAAATAGTGTTGAAGCCCGTGTGAAACCTGCTGCTCTTTGTGATCTCGGGAGACACATATTAGGCTGCTGTTCTACCCGAGAGGCTGGGGGAAGGACCACCCCCTCGGCCATCTATTGCTTCAATACCACCTGTCCTCCTGTGAATTAGTAGGAAAGGGGAGCAGGAGCTAGTGCTGTCGCTGATCTCTGATTCCAAGATCTGGACTCACTCCAAGGAGTGTTAATGTTTACCTCCCCATGGTCTACCTGAATCTCCACAGGTGATTGGAAGTAGGGGTGAGGTGGGGGATTTGGGTGAGTGGGCAAGTTTTTTTTGTGATGACCAGAGCACTTTCTCTATTCCAGGATCTGTGCTGGAGGATTCAGCGGACTTTCACATTTTCTATATGATCTCATGCTCACAGAAAGCCAAATAGGGAAGAGGTTTTAGGCTCATTGCCTAATGGATAAGATAAAGGATCAAAGAAGTAATTATAGAGAAATAGAAAAATCATGATTGGAATTCAGGTCCCTTTGTCATTTGCGTGTGTTATATTATATTTATATTTATGCATTTCTTATTTTTATTTTTTGAGACGGAGTCTCCTTGTGCCACCCAGGCTGGAGTGCAGTGATGCAACCTCCACTCACTGCAACCTCCACCTCCTGGGTTGAAGTCATTCTCCTGCTTCATCCTCCAGAGTAGGAGCTGGGATTACAGGGATGCACCACCATGCTCGGCTAATTTTTGTGTTTTTCCTAGAGACAGGGTTTCACCATGTTGGCCAGGCTGGTCTCGAACTGCTGACTTCATGTGATCCACCCGCCTTGGCCTCCTGCAGTGCTGGGTTACAGGCGTGAGCCACCGTTCACAGACTTGTATATTATGCTATAATAGGTCTCTTCATTTCCACCACCCCTCATATATCTGTCACTCCTTTGCCAGGTATTGATTTATGTGTAGGATGAATAAATCTCAGAAAGAAATTAATTAAGCGAGGATTAAACAAGTAGGAAAATCAAACCCAGCAAGCCTTTCCAGTCAATGATTCTACCTCACAAACCTATCTTATATCCATCTACTTCATTCATTTAGTTTCTAAATCAGCACCACATTTCACCAGTGGGGCGGCAATTGCCTTTTCCACGGTCTCCTAGATTCCAGTTATGCAACTGAGCCTCCCTTATTTTCATGTCAGTCATATTAATCATGTAGGGATTCCTGGCTACCCCGAGGTGAATCCAATGGCTGTGAGTGTCAAACACACACTCCTTGTTCCTCCTTAGTTTCCTGTGTACCCAGTGTGCTCTCCGTCTCTCCACAGTCATCTTGTCATTCTCCCCACATCATTCCCAGCATTTGAGGAAGAGCCTCTTCCTTCCACATCAGATTGTTTTCACCTTTGTGCCTTCACGGCTGACAGCTGTGTGTGCAAAATCCTTCCGCCAATCTTTCAGGGGTTCAATCCGTGTTTTTCATTAATGTCACAAATATCTGAATAGTGAGACCTTCTTTGTCACCTGAAATCATACACTCAGCATTATCTATTATTGATTTTGAATTCTGGCTGGGCACAGTGGCTCACGCCTGTAGTCCCATTACTTTGGCATGCTGAGACGGTCGGATCACTTGAGGTTGGGAGTTTCAGACAAGCTTGGCCAACGTGGTGAAACATCCTCTCTACAAAAAATATACAAAAAGAATTAGCCGGGCACGGTGGCAGTTGCCTGTAATCCCAGCTACTCGAGAGGCGGAGGCAGGAGAATCACTTGAATCCAGGAGAAGCAGGTTGCAGTGAGCCAAGATCGTGACACTGCACTGTAGCCTGGAAGACAGAGGGCAACTCTGTCTCAATAAACAAAAGAACAAACAAAAAATAGATTTCATGCACAGATGCTTCCCAATGGATCATTCATTTATAGATCCACTTGTGCATTCATTTTCTGCCCTCCCATTTAACCATCTGCAATATCAGTGTCCCAAGGGCAGAGGCCAAATGCATCTTGTTCACTGTTTGTGGAAGGCAGGAGAATGCTGTCCCACCCCAAAATGTCCCTGTCCTAGCCTCCATACCTTGTGAATATGTTATTTTACATGGAAAGGAGGAATGAAGATTGTAGATGGAATTACGGTTGCTAATCAGCTGAACTTAAAACAAGGGTATCCTGGATGATTTCCAGGAGATTATGAGGGATTTTCATCTTGGTGAACCCAATAGAATCCCCAAGTTTTCAAAAGATAAGGAAGAAGGGAGAGCAGCATTCAGAGAAAGAGGTGTGGTAAGGAAGAAGGCACTGAGTGATGCCATATGAGATGTGACCAGTCTTTGTGGGTTTTGAGGAAGGAGGAAGGGGACCAGGAGCCAAGGAACTGGGAGCCTTTAGAAGCTGGGACAAGTGAGAAGCAGATTCTTGCCTGGAATCCTCAGAGGGAAGGCAGCCTTGCTGTCACCTTGATTTTAGCCCAGTAAGATGCACTTCCTACTTTGAGCTACAGCACTGTAAGATAATTAAAAAACCGTTTTGTTTTCACCCACGAATCTTGTGGAAATTTGTTATGGCAACAATAGGAAAAGGTTCCGCACTGCACAGCCTGAGCATGGGGCCGTGGCTGAATGAGTCAGTGAGTCGAAGTGTGCGTGCATGAGCTCCGTTCTCTGTTACGGCAAGGCTGTTGCTCTGCTGAGTCAGCCAGGGTTGCTTCATGACCAACAGTAATTCATTCCTTGGCAAGTGGAACTTCTCTAAAACACCTCGCCCTCATCAGATGTTCCCTTCCCTTCCCTCTCTCAAGCCCCCAGGAATTTATCCTCCAGTTAGGAATGCAGGCAGAACAAACATTGCATTTTTCCTGAGAAGGATGTCAGATTGGCAATCATTCTTCTAGCTTGTAGGAGGTCTCAGCTCCATAAAATGAGAGATTAAGAGATTTCACTGAGCCCTAGGTTGGGCCCAGATCCCTTTCGCTGTTGGAGTATCTGGAGTTCGGAGATGGTAGAAGACAGGCGTACAATGTCAGAGCTGCGAGATGCTGAGTCAATGCCTGCATCGAAGGTTTCTACCTCCCCAGGTTTCCAAAAGCGGATATAAGAGGGTTCTGTACTCACCGGTTTTAGAGCTTGGTTCAGTGGGTGAAGGCCAACTATTTGAAGGGTTTCCTAGAACATGAGACAGGAGAGAGGTGAGGAAATGAGGGTGTCTGTCCTCTACTCAATGGAAATCTTTGAGGTTGGTTCATGGCCAACACTCTGTTATCTAATATTGGGCCCTGGGAGTCCTGGGATCCTTTTTTCCATAATTTTTGTATGTGACGCCCATTGTCTTGAGACTTCAAGGTATAAAGAGAAAACAGGAGCATCACACTACCTGATCTCAAAATATGTTACAGAGCTGTAGTAAGCAAGACAGCATGATGTTGGCATGAAGAAAGGCACATAGAACAATGGAGCAGAATGAACAACACAAATATAATCCATGCATTTACATCCAATGTTTTTTTCTTTTTTCTTTTGAGATGGAGTCTCGCTCTGTCACCCAGGCTGGAGTGCAGAGGTGCAATCTCGGTTCACTGCCACCACAGCCTCCTGGGTTCAATCAATTCTCTGGCCTCAAACTCCTGAGTAGTGGTATTATAGGTGCTGACCACCATGCTCAGCTAATTTATATATTTTTAGTGGAGACAATGTTTCATCACGTCGGCCAGACTAATCTTGAACTCCTGGCCTCAGGTGATCCACCCGCCTTGGGCTCCCAAAGTGCTGAAATTGCAGGTGTCAGTCACCATGCCCAGCCCATCCAATGGACTTTGACAAAGGTGCCAAGAACTCACAATCAGGAAAGGACAGTCTTTTCAATAAACAGTGCAGGGAAACCTGGACATCTACATGCAGAGGAATGAAACTGCACCTCTACCTGTCACCATACACAAAAATCAAATGAAAATGGATTAAAGATGTGAGTCTAAGGCCTGAACCTATGAAACACGTAGAAGAAAATATTGGGGAAATGCTCCAGGACATTTGTCTGAAGGAAGACATTTTGTTTTAAACCTTCAAAACACAAGTAATCGAAGCAAAAATAGACCATTGGGATTACCTCAAGCTAAGCAACTTCTGCACCGCTAAAAATAAACCAACAAAGTGAAGAGACAACCCACAGATTGGGAGCAAATATGTGCAAACTATGCATCTGAGATGGGATTAATAACTAGAAATATAAGAAGCTCAAACAACTCAATAAAACAAATGATTTAATTGAAACAGGAGCAAAAGACATGAAATTTCCCCACATACGAAAAACTGCTCAGTATCACTCATCATCAGAGAAACGCAAATTAAAATCAAAGTGAGTTTTCATCTCACCCCATTAAAATGGCTTTTAGGCCGGGCGTGGTGGCTCACGTCTGTCATCCTAGATCTTTGAGAGCCTGAGGTGGGTGAATCTCATAAGGTCGGGAGTTTGAGACCAGTCTGACCCACATGGAGAAACACTGTCTCTACTAAAAATACAAAAATTAGTCGGGCGTGGTGGCGTGTGCCTGTAATTCCAGCTACTCGGGAGGCTGAGGCAGGAGAATCGCTTGAACCTGGGAGGTGGAGGTTGTGGTGAGCCGAGATCGCACCACTGCACTCCAGCCTGGGTGACAAGAGCGAAACTCCATCTCAAAATAAAATGAAATAAAGTAAAATGGCTTTTAGCTGCAAGACAGGCAAAGGAAATCCTGCCAAAGTGGTAGAGAAAGGAGAACCCTAATACCCTGTTGGTAGGAGTGTAAATTAGTACAGCCTTTACGGAGAAAAGTGTGGAAGTCCTTTAAAGAACTAAAAAGAGGTTGGGTGAGGTGGATCATGCCTGTAATCCCGGCACTTTGGGAGACCGAGGCGGACACCTCAGTTGAGGTCATGAGTTTGAGAGCAGCCCAGCCAACATGGGGAAACCCCATCTATACTAAAAAAACCAAAAAGTAGCCAGGCATGGTGGCGTGCACCTGTAATCCCAGCTACTAGGGAGGCTGAGGTAGGAAAATCATTTGAACCCAGGAGGCAGAGGTTGCAATGAGCCAAGATGACATCACTTGTACTCCAGCCTGGGCACAGAGGGAAACTGTCTCAAAAACAAAAACAAAACAACAAACGAATAACTAAAAAGAGAACTTTCATAGTATCCAGCAATTTCACTACTGGGTTTATATCCAAAGGAAAGTAAATCAATATATCGAAGTGATATCTGCACTCGTATGATTGGTGCAGCACTGTTCACAGTAGCCAAGATGTGGAGTCAACCTACCTGCCCATCAGTGGATGAATGGATAGAGAGAATGTAGTACATACGCACAGTGGAGACTACTCATCCATAGAAAGAATAACATCCTGATATTTGCAGCCACATGGATGGAACTGCAAGTCATTACAAAGATTCCCATTTCTCACCCATATACAGAGCTAAAAGGTGGATCTCATGAAGGTAGAGAGTAGAATGGTGGCTTCCAGAGGCCAGGAAGAAAAGGGTGGAGGGTAAAAAAAAAAAAAAATATATATATATATATATATATATATATATATATATATATATATATATATACACATATATATATGTATATATATGTGTGTGTATATATATATACATACATATATATATATATATATTTATAAATGTATTTATGACCACTAGACTTTACACTTAAAAATGGTAAATGTGGCTGGGAGTGGTGGCTCATGCCTGTAATCCCAGCACTTTGGGAGGCAGATGCGGGTGGATCACGTGGTCAGGAGTTGGAGACCAGCTCGACCAACATGGTGAAACCACCTCTCTACTAAAAATACAAAAAGTAGCCTGGCGTGGTGGTGCGCGCCTGTAGCACCAGCTACTCAGGTGGCTGAGGCAGGAGAATCACTTGAACCCAGGAGGCGGAAGTTGCAGTGAGCTGAGATTGTGCCACTGCACTGCAGCATAGGGGACAGAGCTAGACTCTGCCTCAAAAAAAAAAAAAATGTTAAAGGTGGTAAGCTATATAGGTATATTTATCCTCAATAAATATTTCTTCAAACAAAAGTAAAGGGTGTAGGGGTTGCTGGTGATGACATCCCTGTGTGGGTGAGAGGCCAGGATGGGCTTCTGGGAAATGGGTAATGTTGAGGGGCTGAGGGAACCTCTGATCTTCCCAAACTGAGCCCAGTCTCCCTCCTCTGGGTCTCTCCTGACCGCTTTCTCCATCTGCCTGTGTGCCTGGAGCCCTGGCCGCGGGCCTTCATGCAGGCCGTGTAGGAGGGTTTGGAGGTGCCCTGTCTGCCATCCTGTGCCCTGATCCCTCCCTCACACCCAAGCTTCGTCTTCTCTCTGCATCTGTCCATGCTTATCTCCATCATCAGCAGGAAGCTCCTCAGCTAAGGCTCTAGGATCATAGGACATGAGACAGATATGGGGTTTCCTCACCTATGACAGAAACAAGCAGTGGGTCACTCGAGTTTGACCACTCGTATGGAGAGTCACGGAAAGAGCCGAAGCATCTGTAGGTTCCTCCGTGGGTGGCAGGGCCCAGAGGAAAGTCGGCCTGGAATGTTCCGTTGACCTTGGGCCCTGCAGAGAACCTACATTCATGGGCCTCCCCCTCCCTGGATAGATGGTACATGTCATAGGAGCTCCGGGAGCTGCAGGACAAGGTCACGCTCTCTCCTGCCAGAACCGTGGGGCCCGGCTGGGCTGAGAGAGAAGGTTTCTCATATAGACCTGGAAGGAGAAGAGGCATTTTCCTCAGGGAGGATCTTCCTTGTCACAGCTCCCTTCACCTGAGCTGAGAACTCACTCCCCTGCTCTATGACCTAATGCTCTCTCTCTCTCTCTCTCACCCTCCACCCCATCTCTCTTCATATCTATTTCCTTCTTCCACCTTCTCTGTCTCTCTAGGTCTCTGACCTCGCTTCCCCACCTCTAGATATGTTTTCCGTTTTTGGATTGTTTTATTCTCTCTGACTCTCCTTGGGTTGGTTGACTTGATGTTACTTTTTTAAATTCTAAGTTTCTCACGTTGTGTCCTGTTCATAACTTTCTGCATATTTCTATCTATTATCTGTCGATCTATCTATTTATCTATTCGGTGCCTATCTACAAATTCTCTACCTGTCATCTATATCTATATATCATCTATGTATCTATCAGTTGTCTATCTATCCATCAATCATCTGTTATTTATATGTATGTATCATCTCTCTCTCTATGATTTCTGTCTGCCTCTCTATCTGTACGTATTATCTGTCTTCATCATCATCATCTCTATGTATTATCTATTAATGAATCAATCAATCATCATCTATGTATCTTTAACCTATTATCTATCATCTACCTATTTATCATCTATCTATATCTATCCATCTATCATCTGTATTGCTCTGCCTCTCGGTCTCTCTAGCTCTCTTTGGAATCTCTGCAATTCATCCCCACATCTCCATGTTTCTATGTCCTTGTGCCTCTCTCTCAGGACTCTAATTTTAGTGCTTTTCTCTGCTCCCTGCCATCATTCTCACCACTCCTCTGCCCTCTTTTCTCTCTCTTTATGTGTCTGTGAGTCTCTCAATCTCCTTCCTCTGGCTCATTCTCCGTGTGTTTATGTCTTTGCTTTTTGGTGTTCCTGATTTTTCTCTGTGCCTCTCAGTGATCCTTTCATATGTGGGGTTATTTGGAATGTGAGCCTCAGAATCCAGTCTGGAGACCACAAGTTCACACAGCATACAGGGGTTGGTGTTCTGGGGCCATGATATCCTGGGACGGTTACTCTCCATTACATGGAAGGCAGAGGTGTCAGAATAAACATGGCCTGTAGGTGCCACAAGGCCTGAGGCCACAGGGCCCAACTCAGGTCAGAAATATGGGTGTCCTTGGGTTCTCCTGGTAGAGAACACTTTGTGGAGGTAAAACAGAAATGAAACTTCTAACCTGTGCCAGGTCTGTGAGCAAAGTCAGCATGGAGGGACACCTCTCTCTGGGACATGTCTGTCTGTCTGTCTCTTTTAACTCTTTCTGTCTTTTCTAACTCCCTGTATGGCCCCTGTGTCTGTCCTCCGTTATGACACCTGGTCTGTACTTGTGTCTCCTGTTTCTCTGTCTCTGTTGGTACAAACCTCAGCAAGTCAGTCTCTCTCCATAAGAATACCAAGCTCATCTTCCTTACAACTACCTGGGGGTTCCAAGTCGTGGATCATTCACTCTGCAGCCCAATGACAATGAGAATGTCCGGACACTCTCACCTGTGATGACGATGTCCAGAGGGTCACTGGGAGCTGACAACTGATAGGGGGAGTGAGTAACAGAACCGTAGCATCTGTAGGTCCCTGCAAGGTCTTGCATCATGGGACCGATGGAGAAGTTGGCTTTGGAGACCCCATCATGGTGCTCTCCAATGAGGTGCAAAGTGTCCTTAAACTTCCCTTCTCTGTGCAGAAGGAAGTGCTCAAACCTGACATCTGACCAACATTGCAGGATGACTGTCTCTTCTGATTTCACCAGGCGACCTGGGTGGGCCAGGAGGGAAGGTTTTCTGTGGACTCCTAGGAAGAGAGGTTGTGAGTTTAGAAGGTGTCTCTCTTTATCATCCCATCCATGGCACCTAGAATGAGTGAGGCTTCCCCTTGCTGGTGTCTGTCTCTCTCCTTCCTCTCTGTGTCTTCATGTTCTTTTCTGTGCCCTTAACTCCTGGTGCAGGTCCTTCCATCTGTCTCCCTCCCTCTTCTCTGTCCCTCTGTCTCTAGTAGCCTCTGATTCCCTTCCCACTGGGCTTAGCCTCATCTCTTGGGGTGTTGTATCTATTTCACACTAATGTCTTTCCTGCTGTTTATGTGGGGGTGAAAGAGGAACCAGGATAGGCTGCACATCCAGGCTCTTATCAGCCTGGTTCAATCTCTTTTGGATGAATTGCAATCCTTGGCAGAAGATATGAACTGATGAATAAGGCAGGCACCAGTGTCCACACACCCTGTTCCTGGTGGGGACTGGGAGCCACTCTTGCCATGCCTGTGCCTTCTCCATGGTGCCAGCTTCCATAGGCTGGCTCCTGGTGCTGGTTGGAGGAGTATCAACCCCTCCCTATGTGGATGGAGCCTGGTGGTGGCATCATCATCCCACCCTTGCTGATCTCAGGGTAGCCAACCTTCTCCTTCTTTGGTTTCTTTAATTAATTAATTAATTTTGGAGACAGAGTCTCACTCCTTCACCCAGGCTGGAGTGAAGTGGTGTGGTCTAGGCTCACTGCAACCTCTGTTTCCTGGGTTCAAGTGATTCTCCTGCCCTCAGCCTCCTGAGTCGCTAGGATTACATGCACCTGCCACCATGCCTGGCTTTCCTTGGGTTGTTTCTTAACTTGTCCTTGACCTGGGTTCCAGTGTTGGTTTCCTGTTGCTGCTGTACAAAATTATCAGAAGCATGGAAGCAGGAGAGACCACACTGACACCTTCCAGTACTGGAGACAGAAATTGGACCCTATTTTTCCTGGGCTAAAATCAAGGCATCTGCAGGGCTTCGTTTCCTCTGGAGACTCTGGAGAATCAGTTCCTTGACTTTTCCAGCCTCTATAGGCCACCTGCATTCATGGCTCTTGGCCTTCCTCCACCTTCAAAGCTGGTGAAGACTTCCACTGGACTGCTCTAATCCCCACTCCCCTCTTCCTCCTCCTTTCATGTGCACCCTTGTGATTACACTGAGCCCAGTGGGACAGTCCAGGCTGTCTCCCCATGAGCTCCATCTTCCCCTTCAGTCCCTTCCCCTATAACATACATAGTCACAGACTCCAGGGATTAGAATGTAGTCATCACTGGGGACAATTATTCTTCCCACCACAGCACCCATTTCCCTGTATTCAATCCCCCTTTACCACAAATACAGTCAGGGCCTGCGTGATGGGACCCTCAAGGACATGCCCACCAGAAGCTCTGGGATTCAGGAGGTGGGACAAGGAGAATCCAAGACAGGAGCCCTCTGACCTATGACCACGATCACCAGGGGGTTGCTGGGTGCTGACCACCCACTGGGGGAGTGTGTGTGTGAACCCCGACATCTGTATGTCCCTGTTGTGCGGGGGTCACAGGGCCCATGAAAAGGCTGTTCCAGAATATTCTGTTGTAGAGCTCAGGGACAGGCACCCCACCTTCCTTGTACAGACTGAAGTTGTTAAACCCAAGATAAGAGTGACACCGAAGAATGACATGTCCTAGAGGCACCACAAGGCTGGGCCAGGCAGACAGCAAGGGCTTGTCCTGACCACCTTGGGGAGAAGGAGGCGCCGCCTTAGAGAGGAGGATGTGGAACTGCCCCTCCCTCCCTGTGCTCAGAAGATTCTCCTCGCTTTCCACGTTTCTATGGCTACTATCACACCTTGGTGCCCAGGGCTGAAGGAAGGACCCATCCCGCAAAGACATGGTGTCTCCCTACAACAAAAGCCTCAGCTGAGAACTTTGAGCAAGTGCTGAGTAAAGAGACTCCTACTAGATTTTGATACTGTAAGATTACTCACATAAAACAACACAGGGTAGACATGAGGTGGAGGGCATGTCCTTTGTGAATGGATATCAGCGGATGCCTGAACGAAAATAAACAACTGAGCCCCCATCAGAGGATTTGGAATGTCAGGGCCATGGCTGTGGTTTCCCACCTCTTCTGGTAGAATGACAGCAGCCACACTGCAGCCCCTACCGTCATGGAAACGCTGAAGTGTGTGAGTAACACCTTTGTCCTCAGAGGATCTGCTGTTCCTACCACTTCCCAACCACACACCCCAGCTTTGAGCACCCCAGTCTAACCCTGGTCCCCACAGAACTTGACTCTGCCAAGGGGTTGAGAGGCCAGGGAGGCGAGGTCAGAAATGTGGGCTGAGCACCCCAGGGTCCTCTCTTCCTAGTTTATGAGAGACTCCCCGACAGGACTTCCCTCCTGTTTCAGGAAAATCCTCTTATGTGGGGAGATGACACCCGAAGGTTTGGAGAAGGACTCACCCTCATGTGGCCAGGCCCCCTGCAGCAAGAAGAACCCTGGAAAGAAAGATCATGATGGACGATCCATCTGCAGGCGAACCAGCCCTCCCTTGCTGCCCCCACTGGGCTGTGAGTCTTGGCAGCCAGGCCCTTCCTGGGCTGAAGTTAAACTCACCCTCAGTGCCTACCTGCACCCAAGAACAGGGCTGTCGGCTGTGCAGAGACCCAGTTTCCAGGCCCATATCCCCACCCCAAGCCCATATCTCCACTCCAGGCTGATATTTCCACCCTAGGCCCATATCGCCAATCCAGGCTCAGATCTCCACCCTAGGCCCCTATCTCCAATCCAGTCCCATATCTCCGCCCCAGGCCCAGAACTCCACCCTAAGCCCATATCTCCACTCCAGGCCCATATCACCTCTCCAGTCCCATATCTCCACACCCAGGCCCATATCTCCTTCCTAGGCCCATATCTCCACTCCAGGCCCAGATATCCACCTCTAGGCCCATAACTCCACTCCTGGCCCATATCTCCACTCCAGGCCCATATCTCTACTGCAGGCCCGTATCTCCACCTCCAGACCCATATCTCCACTCCAGGCCCATATCTCCACCTCCAGGCCCATATCTCCACCTCCAGGCCCATATCTCCACTTCAGGCCCATATCTCCACTCCAGGCCCATATCTCCACTCCAGGCCCCTATCTCTACTGCAGGCCCATATCTCCATCTCCAGGCCCATATCTCCATCTCCAGGCCCATGTCTCCACTACAAGCCCATATCTCTACTGCAGGCCCATATCTCAACCTCCAGGCCCATATCTCCACTCCAGGCCCAGATCTCCACTTCTAGGCCCATCACTCCATCTCTAGGCCCATAACTCCACTTCCAGGCCTATATCTCCAACTCTGGGCCCCGATCTCCATCCCCGCACTCCCTCCCTCGATTCCCTTCCAGGACTCACCAACACACGCCATGCTGACGACCATGAGCGACATGGTGCTGTCTGTGCAGACAGGCGGCCGCGCCCCAGCTCAGCTCAGCAGCGCACAGGATGTTATTTGGCGCCCTGCCCATGCAGTTTACATGTTGACCACATCATGGGAGGGTGACGTACGCAGGCTCTTTCTACCTTGCATGAGGCCCAGTGGGTGCTCGCTCAAGAGCGGAACATGGCTTCCTGGAAATTGTTCTCACTAGAATTGACACCTTGCGTCCTTCACTACGACCAGACTCAAAAGACGTCTCAGATCCAACCTCTCATACACGAGATGATTGAATTCTGTGCTTACATTAAAGATTTTTGATGTATTTTTGTTTTTATCTGAGATTCAAACTCTTCTTCATATGTAATGTGCAAAATGTCTAACAGGTATTATTAACATTATCAGAGTAATTGTGACAAGAAGCCATTCTAATTTTCCTGCTTGAGTTTCTAGTACTAAACCAGAGGCATCAGAATAGCTTGAACCTGGGAGGCGGAGGTTGCAGTGAGCTGAGCTCAAGCCACTGAACTCCAGCTTGGGTGACAGAGGAAGAGTCTGTCTCAAGAAAAAAAAAAAAGCAAACTAAATAACCTATAATAACAAATCAGAGGACTCAGGTTACCAAATTTTAAGGGGTTCTATAAGTTTATATAAAATGCAGCATCCTCATGAGAGGGGATACAGAGAACCACTGGACAGAAAACTGTGTCTAAAATACATCTGTGGATACACAGTCCCTTTATAGTTGACAAAGGCTGCCATGTAGTTTAAGGTGGAATAGAATATTTTCTCAACAAATAACACAGGACCATAGGGTTACACGTAGGAAAAAATAAATCTAAACTTATCCTCACACTATAAAAACACTTCTTATTTTTTATCTTGTTGTTGTAAATTTTTTATGCTTTATTTTTAAGATTGACAAATAAAAATTATATACCATGGTCCTTCACTATACCTGGGTGATTGGTTCCAGGATCCCCATTCAGATACCAAAATCTGCAGATGCTCAAGCCCCTTGCATGAAATGGCATAGTGAAGCTGGGCACCGTGGCTCACGCCCGTAATCCCAGCACTTTGGGAGGCTGAGCTGGGTAGATCACAAGGTCAGGAGTTCAAGACCAGCTGGTCCAACATTCTGAAACCCCGTCTCTACTAAAAATACACACACAAAAAAATTTATCTGTGCATGGTGGCACGTGCCTGTAATCCTAGGGGAGGCTACTGGGGAGGCTGAGGGAAGACAATCGCTTGAACCTGGGAGGCGGAGGTTGCAGTGAGTTGAGATCACGCCACTGCACTCCAGCCTGGGTGAGAGAGTGAGACTGTCTCAAAAAAAAAAAATAGCATAGCAATTGCATAGAACCCATGCACATCCTCCTGTATACATGAAATCATCTCTTGATTACTTATAATTCCTGACACAGCCTACACGCCACTCAATTTGTGTCGATTCAACATAGTTTTTTGCTTCTTGAAACTTCGGGGATTTTTTTCTCAAAATATTTTTGATTTATTGTTGGTTCAATAAACACCTGTAAACCCCACAGATATGGAGGACCGACTGTATATTTATATTATGAAAGATGATATGTTGATATGTGTCCCCGTGGAGATGAGACTAACAAGGCCTATGACTCTACAAATGTTTCATCGTGGAATGACTCTGCCAGCTTTCCAGGTCTGCAGAGAGTAAGAATATCACTTGTTCATGTGATTCACGATCCTTGGAGCCTCCTATGTGCTGTATCTTTGGATGGAAATTGGAGTCTCAGAGACAATTCAGGCTCCATTCTGCTTCCAGAAGCTCAGAGTCCAGGGCTGAGAACCCAATGGAGAACAGATGGGGTTATGTGGACATGGTAATGATAACACCGGAAGCCTTAGGCAAGAGAAGAGTCTCGTTACCGAAACCATGAGGGCAGACATGTTTATTTGAAGGCGGGAAAACTACATTGAAATTATTTAAAAAATTTATAAGTTTTACTGCTGGCAGAAGGCTGAAAGATAGTCTGAAGGGAGGTGGAACAGCACGTGTCTAAGTGCTGTGTTAAGAGGGAGCCTCTTGTATGTTTGGAATTGTGAGTTCCTCAGTGTGATTGCAGCCTCAGGTAGACTAGGAAGTAAGCTAGTTAGGTTGGAGAGGTGGGCAGGGGTCAAGTGAAATGGAGAATTGTGGGCTAAGCAAAGGAGTGTGTTTTCTCTCCAGCAGGCAGTGGGGACCTTAGACATTTGTAAGCAAGAGAGAGGCATGTTCAGATTCGTGGTGTGAGGAAGAGCGATGCCCTAAGATGAAGACTGATGCCTTCAGATTCCAGCTGCTGGTACATGGGAGCTGGCAACCCGGTTTTGAGACAGGGCTGTTGTCTCCCTAGAAGATCCCCTCAAGGCCTGACTGTGGTGCTCGTGGACAGAAGACAACTTTGGATCTGGGCTCAGCATTTGGAAGTTCTATGTACATGCTGGTATCTGTTGGGGGTGTCTTGGGCCTCTCAGAAGGGCGAGTGATTTCTCTCTGTGTGAAAACACAGTGATCCAATTATGCGTATGACACCTCCTGATGGTCTTGTTCATCAGAATCCTGGAGAGAGGGAAATGCTGAGTGAGGGAGGGTGCTCACATTTTTCAGGACTCTTTGGGAATAAGACTAGCCACGAGGCTGGGCCGAGGAGCACCTACCTCGCTGTTCACTGTTCTGTTCCCTGCAGGCTCTTGGTCCATTACAGCAGCATCTGTAGAAGACGGAAGTCAACAAAAGAGCTCGGAGGGCACTTCTGGGTCCTCATTTCATAAGCAGATACCAACAAACAGGGGGAGGCCATAGGTGCCTGAGGTCCCTCAGTTGCCAACAGCAGACTCAGACATTCTATCTCTCTGAGTTCAAGGACCCATCCCATGAATAGCTCTGAGTTCCCATCCCATTGATTCTATCTCCCACTTTCTGCCTGTCATGGAACCTTCTCCTGGATGTGAGTGGCTGCAGGGGACGTGAGGGTACAGTTCAGAATCAGGCAACGGTCTGTGAGCTGAAGGCAGGGGAAGGGAATCTGGTGCTCTCTCTAGAAAGTCCTGCCTCTGTGGCTCCTGTCTTGGGCCAGGGACCATCCTGCTGGTGAGGAACACACACCTGAGTGCTCCCATCCTGCTTCCCCACATGGCCCTGAGCTCTCTGGCCTCTGCTTCGTGAGACTTACTTTTTTTGTTGGAGCACCAGCGATGAAGGAGAAAGAAGAGGAGGATGGTGAAAGGGATTTTGACCACTGAGGTCCCAATCAGAACATGCAGGTGTCTGGGGTTACCTGGAAGAAGAGGAGACACCAATAAGAAGCTAATCATAGCAGTTCCTCTTTATGAATTGTCTCGCATTTCTTGATTGGCAGGTAACCACATACAACGTCTCTTTAGGACAAGCACCCAAATGGCGGGAGACCTAGCTTTCCCCTGCTTTCTCAATTATAGCTCTCATAGTAACCATAGAACGTGCTGAGGATACAACTACTTTAGTTGAGATGTTTGACCCCTTCAAACCTCACATTGAAATTTCACCCCCATTGTGGGAGGTTGGGCCTCTTCAGAGGTGTTTGGGTCATGGAGGTGGATCCATCATGAACAGATCAATGCTGTCCCAAGGAGACGGGGTTAGCAAGTTCCCCCTCTGTTAGTTCCTGGACAGCTGGTTGTTAAAAAGAGCTTGGAAGCTCCATTGCTCCCTCTCCCCCTTACTCTCTCTCTTGCCGTGTGATCTCTGTGGTCTCTGCACAGACAGACCCTCCTTCCCTTCTGCCAGAGTGGGAGCAGCCTGAGGCCATCACGAGAAATAGATTCTGGTGCCATGCTTCCAGTACAGCCTGCAGAACTGTGAGGCAAACCGATCTCTTTTCTTTAGAAGTTACCGAGGCTCAAGTGTTCCTTCAGAGCAACAAAAAAAAAAACTAAGACAGCAACGACCTGAGATCAGGAGGAATGTCTCAGAACAGCCTGGGCTGTCTTCCTGTTCTTCCTGGAGGAAGGCGTCATGCAGTGCTTTAGCTGAGTGCTTCCTGTGGCTCCAGGGTACAAAACCCAGGCTGGGCTGCTTTCTGGCTTCCCCCAGCTACACTGCAAATGGGGTGACTCCATATGTCCCGAGCAGCTTTTCTGAGCCTTGAGGGACTGGCTCACATTGAAATGTAGGCTTCTGTTGTCACTCGCTGCTTATCTGTTAGTAATGAACCTGCCTGTGTAATGTATTCTCTGTGTGTTCTGTCTCCCTGGAGTGACGGTGAGTGATAGGAATTGGCATAGGCCCAGGTGCAGTCCAGGAGGTGTTTAGAGTCTTCTCTGGGAAGACTGCACTGGGATTGATACACAGCGACTGTGCTTTAGGATTTCTACATCCACGGCATTCTTGAGTCAAACAACTTGCATTCTCCAAGAAAAGGAAACAAAAGTGAAATCAAGATAAAAAAAGCGAAGTAGAATTCTCTTATGTCAAATGGCCAGGAAACAGTGTTGAAGCCCATGTGAAACGTGCTACTCTTTGTGATCTCAGGAGACACATGTTAGGTTGCTGTTCTACCCGAGAGGCTGGGGGAAGGACCACCCCCTCGGCCATCTATTGCTTCAATACCACCTGTCCTCCTGTGAATTAGTAGGAAAGGGGAGCAGGAGCTACTGCTGACGCTAATCTCTGATTCCAAGATCTGGACTCACTCCAAGGAGTATTAGAATTTACCTCCCCATGGCCTATCTGAATCTCCACAGATGATTGGAAGTAGGGGTGAGGTGGGGGATTTGGGTGAGAGGGCATGTTTTCTTGTGATGAACAGAGCACTTTGTGTATTCCAGGATCTGTGCTGGAGGATTCAGCGGGCTTTCACATTTTCTATATGATCTCATGCTCACAGAAAGCCAAATAGGGAAGAGGTTTTAGGCTCATTGCCTAATGGATAAGATAAAGGATCAAAGAAGTAATTATAGAGAAATAGAAAAATCATGATTGGAATTCAGGTCCCTTTCTCATTTGCATGTGTTATATTATATTTATATTTATGCATTTCTTATTTTTATTTTTTGAGACGGAGTCTCCTTGTGTCACCCAGGCTGGAGTGCAGTGATGCAACCTCCACTCACTGCAACCTCCACCTCCTGGGTTGAAGTCATTCTCCTGCTTCATCCTCCAGAGTAGGAGCTGGGATTACAGGGATGCACCACCATGCTCGGCTAATTTTTGTGTTTTTCCTAGAGACAGGGTTTCACCATGTTGGCCAGGCTGGTCTCGAACTGCTGACTTCATGTGATCCACCCGCCTTGGCCTCCTGCAGTGCTGGGTTACAGGCGTGAGCCACCGTTCACAGACTTGTATATTATGCTATAATAGGTCCCTTCATTTCCACCACCCCTCATATATCTGTCACTCCTTTGCCAGGTATTGATTTATGTGTAGTAGGAATAAAGCTCAGAAAGAAATTAAGCGAGGATTAGACAACTAGGAAAATCATACCCAGCAAGCCTTTCCAGCCAATGATTCCACCTCACAAGCATAGCTTATATCCATCTGCTTCACCCAGTTAGGGTCTAAATCAGCACCACATTTCACCAGTGGGGCGGGAATTGCCTTTTCCACAGTCTCCTAGATTCCAGTTACGCACCTGGGCCTCCCTTATTTTCATGTCAGTCACTATTAATCATGTAGGGATTCCTGGCTACCCCGAGGTGAATCCAATGGCTGTGAGTGTCAAACACACACTCCTTGTTGCTCCTTAGTTTCCTGTGTACCCAGTGTGCTCTCCGTCTCTCCACAGTCGTCTTGTCATTCTCCCCACCTCATTCCCAGCATTTGAGGCAGAGCCTCTTCCTTCCACATCAGATTGTTTTCAGCTTTCTGCCTTCACGGCTGACAGCTGTGTGTGGAAAATCCTTCCGCCAATCTTTCAGGGGTTCAATCCGTGTTTTTCATTAATGTCACAAATATCTGATTAGTGAGATCTTCTCTGTCACCCAAAATCATACACTCAGCATTATGTATTATTTATTTTAAATTCTGGCTGGGCACAGTGGCTCACGCCAGTTATCCCAGTACTTTAGGATGCTGAGACGGTCGGATCACTTGAGGTTGGGAGTTTCAGAGAAGCTTGGCGAAGATGGTGAAACATCCTCTACAAAAAATATACAAAAAGAATTAGCCGGGCATGGTGGCAGTTGCCTGTAATCCCAGCTACTTGAGAGGCTGACGCAGGAGAATCACTTGGATCCAGAAGGTGCAGGTTGCAGTGAGCCAAGATGGTGACACTGCACTGTAGCCTGGAAGACAGAGGGAGACTCTGTCTCAATAAACAAATGAAGAAACAAACAAATAGATTTCATACACAGATGCTTCCCAATGGATCATTCATTTATTGGTCCACTTGTGCATTCATTTTCTGCCCTCCCATTTAACCATCTGCAATATCAGTGTCCAAAGAGCAGAGGCCAAATGCATCTTGTTCACTGTTTGTGGAAGGCAGGAGAATGCTGTCCCACCCCAAAATGTCCCTGTCCTAGCCTCCATAGCTTGTGAATATCTTATTTTACATGGAAAGGAGGAATGAAGATTGCAGATGGAATTATGGTTGCTAATCAGCTGAACTTAAAACAAGGGTATCCTGAATGATTTCCGGGAGATTATGATGGATTTTCATCTTGGTGAACCCAATAGAATCCCCAAGTTTTCAAAAGATGAGGAAGAAGGGAGAGCAGCATTCAGAGAAAGAGGTGTGGTAAGGAAGAAGGGTCTGAGTGATGCCATGTGAGATGTGACCAGTCTTTGTGGGCTTTGAGGAAGGAGGAAGGGGACCAGGAGCGAAGGAATGTGGGAGCCTCTAGAAGCTGAGAAAAGTGAGAAGCAGATTCTTGCCTGGAATCCTCAGAGGGAAGGCAGCCTTGCTGTCACCTTGATTTTAGCCCAGTGAGATGCACTTCATACTTTGAGCTACAGCACTGTAAGATAATTAAAAAACCGTTTTGTTTTCACCCACGAATCTTGTGGAAATTTGTTATGGCAACAATAGGAAAAGCTTCCACAGTGCACAGCCTGAGCATGGGGCCGTGGCTGAATGAGTCAGTGAGTCGAAGTGTGCGTGCATGAGCTCTGTTCTCTGTTACAGCAAGGCTCTTTCTCTGCTGAGTCAGCCAGGGTTGCTTCATGACCTATAGGAGCTCATTCCTTGGCAAGTGGAACTTCTCTAAAACACCTCGCCCTCATCAGATGTTCCCTTCCCTTCCCTCTCTCAAGTCTCCAGGAATTTATCCTCCAGTTAGGAATGCAGGCAGAACAAACATTGCATTTTTCCTGAGAAGGATGTCAGATTGGCAATCATTCTTCTAGCTTGTAGGAAGTCTCAGCTCCATAAAATGAGAGATGAAGAGATTTCACTGAGCCCTGTGTTGGACCCAGATCCCTTTCGCTGTAGGAGTATCTGGAGTTCGGAGATGGTGGAAGACAGGGGTACAATGTCAGAGCTGTGAGATGCTGAGTCAACGCCTGAATCCAAGGTTTCCACCTCCCCAGGTTTCCAAAAGCGGATATAAGAGGGTTCTGTACTCACCGGTTTTGGAGCTTGGTTCAGTGGGTGAAGGCCAACTATTTGAAGGGTTTCCTAGAACATGAGACAGGAGAGAGGTGAGGAAATGAGGGTGTCTGTCCTCTACTCAGTGGAAATCTTTGAGGATGGTTCATGGCCAACACTCTGTTATCTAATATTGGGCCCTGGGAGTCCTGGGATCCTTTTTTCCATAATTTTTTTATGTGACGCCCACTGTCTTGAGACTTCAAGGTATAAAGAGAAAACAGGAGCATCACACTACCTGATCTCAAAATATGTTACAGAGCTGTAGTAAGCAAAACAGCATGACATTGGCATAAAGAAAGGGACATAGAACAACGGAGCAGAATGAATAACACAGATATATTCCATGCATTTACATCCAATGGTTTTTTATTTTTTCTTTTGAGATGGAGTCTTGCTCTGTCACTCAGGCTGGAGTGCAGAGGTGCAATCTCAGTTCACTGCAACCTCAGCCTCCTGGGTTCAATCATTCTCTTGCCTCAAACTCCTGAGTAGTGGTATTACAGGTGCTGACCACCATGCTCAGCTAATTTTTATATTTTTAGTGGAGACGATGTTTCATCACGTCGTCCAGACTGATCTTGAACTCCTGGCCTCAGGTAATCCACCCGCCTCGGCCTCCCAAAGTGCTGAAATTGCAGGTGTCAGCCACCAAGCCCAGCCCATCCAATGGACTTTGACAAAGGTGCCAAGAACTCACAATCAGGAAAGGACAGTCTTTTCAATAAACAGTGCAGGGAAACCTGGACATCGACATGCAGAGGAATGAAACTGCACCTCTACCTGTCACCATACACAAAAATCAAATGAAAATGGATTAAAGATGTGAGTCTAAGGCCTGAACCTATGAAACACGTAGAACAAAATATTGGGGAAATGCTCCAGGACATTTGTCTGAAGAAAGACATTTTGTTTTAAACCTTGAAAACACAAGTAATCGAAGCAAAAATAGACCATTGGGATTACCTCAAACTAAGCAACTTCTGCACTGCTAAAAATAAACCAACAAAGTGAAGAGACAACCCACAGATTGGGAGCAAATATGTGCAAACTATGCATCTGAGATGGGATTAATAACTAGAAATATAAGAAGCTCAAACAACTCAATAAAACAAATGATTTAATTGAAAAAGGAGCAGAAGACATGAAATTTCCCCACATACTAAAAAGTGCTCAGTATCACTCATCATCAGAGAAACGCAAATTAAAATCAAAGTGAGTTTTCATCTCACCCCATTAAAATGGCTTTTAGGCCGGGCGTGGTGGCTCACGTCTGTCATCCTAGAACTTTGAGAGCCTGAGGTGGGTGAATCTCATAAGGTCAGGAGTTTGAGACCAGTCTGACCCACATAGAGAAACACTGTCTCTACTAAAAATACAAAAATTAGTCGGGCGTGGTGGAGTGTGCCTGTAATTCCAGCTACTCGGGAGGCTGAGGCAGGAGAATCGCTTGAACCTGGGAGGTGGAGGTTGTGGTGAGCCGAGATAGCGCCACTGCACTCCTGCCTGGGTGAGAAGAGCAAAACTCCATTCAAAATAAAATGAAATAAAATAAAATGGCTTTTAGCTGCAAGACAGGCAAAAGAAATGCTGGCAAGGTGGTAGAGAAAGGAGAACCCTGGTACCCTGTTGGGAGGAGTGTAAATTAGTACAGCGATTACGGAGAAAAGTATGGAAGTCCTTTAAAGAACTAAAAAGAGGTTGGGTGTGGTGGATCAGGCCTGTAATCCCAGCACTTTGGGAGACTGAGGCGGGCATCTCAGTTGAGGTCATGAGTTTGAGAGCAGCCCAGCCAACATGGGGAAACCCCATCTATACTAAAAAAAACAAAAAGTAGCCAGGCATGGTGGCGTGCACCTGTAATCCCAGCTACTAGGGAGGCTGAGGCAGGAAAATCATTTGAACCCAGGAGGCAGAGGTTGCAATGAGCCAAGATGACATCACTTGTACTCCAGCCTGGGCACAGAGGGAAACTGTCTCAAAAACAAAAACAAAACAACAAACGAAAAACTAAAAAGAGAACTTTCATAGTATCCAGCAATTTCACTACTGGGTTTATATCCAAAGGAAAGTAAATCAATATATCGAAGTGATATCTGCACTCGTATGATTGGTGCAGCACTGTTCACAGTAGCCAAGATGTGGAGTCAACCTACCTGCCCATCAGTGGATGAATGGATAGAGAGAATGTAGTACATACGCACAGTGGAGACTACTCATCCATAGAAAGAATAACATCCTGATATTTGCAGCCACATGGATGGAACTGGAAGTCATTACAAAGATTCCCATTTCTCACCCATATACAGAGCTAAAAGGTGGATCTCATGAAGGTAGAGAGTAGAATGATGGCTTCCAGAGGCCAGGAAGAAAAGGGTGGAGGGTAAAAAAAAAAAAAATATATATATATATATAAATGTATTTATGACCACTAGACTTTACACTTAAAAATGGTAAATGTGGCTGGGCGTGGTGGCTCATGCCTGTAATCCCAGCACTTTGGGAGGCACATGCGGGTGGATCACGTGGTCAGGAGTTGGAGACCAGCTCGACCAACATGGTGAAACCACCTCTCTACTAAAAATACAAAAAGTAGCCTGGCGTGGTGGTGCGCGCCTGTAGCACCAGCTACTCAGGTGGCTGAGGCAAGAGAATCGCTTGAACCCAGGAGGCGGAAATTGCAGTGAGCTGAGATTGTGCCACTGCACTCCAGCATAGGGGACAGAGCTAGACTCTGCCTCAAAAAAAAAAAAAATGTTAAAGGTGGTAAGCTATATAGGTATATTTATCCTCAATAAATATTTCTTCAAACAAAAGTAAAGGGTGTAGGGGTTGCTGGTGATGACATCCCTGTGTGGGTGAGAGGCCAGGATGGGCTTCTGGGAAATGGATAATGTTGAGGGGCTGAGGGAACCTCTGATCTTCCCAAACTGAGCCCAGTCTCTCTCCTCTGGGTCTCTCCTGACCGTTTTCTCCATCTGCCTGTGTGCCTGGAGCCCTGGCCGCGGGCCTTCATGCAGGCCGTGTAGGAGGGTTTGGAGGTGCCCTGTCTGCCATCCTGTGCCCTGATCCCTCCCTCACACCCAAGCTTCGTCTTCTCTCTGCATCTGTCCATGCTTCTCTCCATCATCAGCAGGAAGCTCCTCAGCTAAGGCTCTAGGATCATAGGACATGAGACAGATATGGGGTTTCCTCACCTGTGACAGAAACAAGCAGTGGGTCACTCGAGTTTGACCACTCATAGGGAGAGTCACGGAAAGAGCCGAAGCATCTGTAGGTTCCTCCGTGGGTGGCAGGGCCCAGAGGAAAGTCGGCCTGGAATGTTCCGTTGACCTTGGGCCCTGCAGAGAACCTACGTTCATGGGCCTCCCCCTCCCTGGATAGATGGTACATGTCATAGGAGCTCCGGGAGCTGCAGGACAAGGTCACGCTCTCTCCTGCCAAAACCGTGGGGCCCGGCTGGGCTGAGAGAGAAGGTTTCTCATATAGACCTGGAAGGAGAAGAGGCATTTTCCTCAGGGAGGATCTTCCTTGTCACAGCTCCCTTCACCTGAGCTGAGAACTCACTCCCCTGCTCTATGACCTAATGCTCTCTCTCTCTCTCTCTCACCCTCCACCCCATCTCTCTTCATGTCTATTTCCTCCTTCCACCTTCTCTGTCTCTCTAGGTCTCTGACCTCGCTTCCCCACCTCTAGATATGTTTTCCCTTTTTGGATTCTTTTATTCTCTCTGACTCTCCTTGGATTGGTTGACTTGATGTTACTTTTTTAAATTCTAAGTTTCTCACGTTGTGTCCTGTTCATAACTTTCTGCATATTTCTATCTATTATCTGTCGATCTATCTATTTATCTATTCGGTGCCTATCTACAAATTCTCTACCTGTCATCTATATCTATATATCATCTATGTATCTATCAGTTGTCTATCTATCCATCAATCATCTGTTATTTATATGTATGTATCATCTCTCTCTCTATGATTTCTGTCTGCCTCTCTATCTGTACGTATTATCTATCTGTCTTCATCATCATCATCTCTATGTATTATCTATTAATGAATCAATCAATCATCATCTATGTATCTTTAACCTATTATCTATCATCTACCTATTTATCATCTATCTATATCTATCCATCTATCATCTGTCTTGCTCTGCCTCTCGGTCTCTCTAGTTCTCTTTGGAATCTCTGCAGTTCATCCCCACATCTCCATCTTTCTATGTCCTTGTGCCTCTCCCTCAGGACTCTAATTTTAGTGCTTTTCTCTGCTCCCTTCCATCATTCTCACCACTCCTCTGCCCTCTTTTCTCTCTCTTTATGTGTCAGTGAGTCTCTCAATCTCCTTCCTCTGGCCCATTCTCTGTGTGTTTATGTCTTTGCTTTTTGGTGTTCCTGATTTCTCTCTGTGCCTCTCAGTGATCCTTTCATATGTGGGGTTATTTGGAATGTGAGCCTCAGAATCCAGTCTGGAGACCACAAGTTCACACAGCATACAGGGGTTGGTGTTCTGGGGCCATGATATCCTGGGACGGTTACTCTCCATTACATGGAAGGCAGAGGTGTCAGAATAAACATGGCCTGTAGGTGCCACAAGGCCTGAGGCCACAGGGCCCAACTCAGGTCAGAAATATGGGTGTCCTTGGGTTCTCCTGGTAGAGAACACTTTGTGGAGGTAAAACAGAAATGAAACTTCTATCCTGTGCCAGGTCTGTGAGCAAAGTCAGCATGGAGGGACACCTCTCTCTGGGACATGTCTGTCTGTCTGTCTCCTTTAACTCTTTCTGTCTTTTCTAACTCCCTGTATGGCCCCTGTGTCTGTCCTCCGTTATGACACCTGGTCTGTACTTGTGTCTCCTGTTTCTCTGTCTCTGTTGGTACAAACCTCAGCAAGTCAGTCTCTCTCCATAAGAATACCAAGCTCATCTTCCTTACAACTACCTGGGGGTTCCAAGTCGTGGATCATTCACTCTGCAGCCCAATGACAATGAGAATGTCCGGACACTCTCACCTGTGATGACGATGTCCAGAGGGTCACTGGGAGCTGACAACTGATAGGGGGAGTGAGTAACAGAACCGTAGCATCTGTAGGTCCCTGCAAGGTCTTGCATCATGGGACCGATGGAGAAGTTGGCCTTGGAGACCCCATCATGGTGCTCTCCAATGAGGTGCAAAGTGTCCTTATACTTCCCCTCTCTGTGCAGAAGGAAGTGCTCAAACCTGACATCTGACCAACATTGCAGGATGACTGTCTCTTCTGATTTCACCAGGGGACCTGGGTGGGCCAGGAGGGAAGGTTTTCTGTGGACTCCTAAGAAGAGAGGTTGTGAGTTTAGAAGGTGTCTCTCTTTATCATCCCATCCATGGCACCTAGAATGAGTGAGGCTTCCCCTTGCTGGTGTCTGTCTCTCTCCTTCCTCTCTGTGTCTTCATGTTCTTTTCTGTGCCCATAACTCCTGGTGCAGGTCCTTCCATCTGTCTCCCTCCCTCTTCTCTGTCCCTCTGTCTCTAGTAGCCTCTGATTCCCTTCCCACTGGGCTTAGCCTCATCTCTTGGGGTGTTGTATCTATTTCACACTAACGTCTTTCCTGCTGTTTATGTGGGGGTGAAAGAGGAACCAGGATAGGCTGCACATCCAGGCTCTTATCAGCCTTGTTCAATCTCTTTTGGATGAATTGCAATCCTTGGCAGAAGGTATGAACTGATGAATAAGGCAGGCACCAGTGTCCACACACCCTGTTCCTGGTCGGGACTGGGAGCCACTCTTGCCATGCCTGTGCCTTCTCCATGGTGCCAGCTTCCATAGGCTGGCTCCTGGTGCTGGTTGGAGGAGTATCAACCCCTCCCTATGTGGATGGAGCCTGGTGGTGGCATCATCATCCCACCCTTGCTGATCTCAGGGTAGCCAACCTTCTCCTTGTTTGGTTTCTTTAATTAATTAATTAATTTTGGAGACAGAGTCTCACTCCTTCACCCAGGCTGGAGTGAAGTGGTGTGGTCTAGGCTCACTGCAACCTCTGTTTCCTGGGTTCAAGTGATTCTCCTGCCCTCAGCCTCCTGAGTCGCTAGGATTACATGCGCCTGCCACCATGCCTGGCTTTCCTTGGGTTGTTTCTTAACTTGTCCTTGACCTGGGTTCCAGTGTTGGTTTCCTGTTGCTGCTGTACAAAATTATCAGAAGCATGGAAGCAGGAGAGACCACACTGACACCTTCCAGTACTGGAGACAGAAATTGGACCCTATTTTTCCTGGGCTAAAATCAAGGCATCTGCAGGGCTTCGTTTCCTCTGGAGACTCTGGAGAATCAGTTCCTTGACTTTTCCAGCCTCTATAGGCCACCTGCATTCATGGCTCTTGGCCTTCCTCCACCTTCAAAGCTGGTGAAGACTTCCACTGGACTGCTCTAATCCCCACTCCCCTCTTCCTCCTCCTTTCATGTGCACCCTTGTGATTACACTGAGCCCAGTGGGACAGTCCAGGCTGTCTCCCCATGAGCTCCATCTTCCCCTTCAGTCCCTTCCCCTATAACATACATAGTCACAGACTCCAGGGATTAGAATGTAGTCATCACTGGGGACAATTATTCTTCCCACCACAGCACCCATTTCCCTGTATTCAATCCCCCTTTACCACAAATACAGTCAGGGCCTGCGTGATGGGACCCTCAAGGACATGCCCACCAGAAGCTCTGGGATTCAGGAGGTGGGACAAGGAGAATCCAAGACAGGAGCCCTCTGACCTATGACCACGATCACCAGGGGGTTGCTGGGTGCTGACCACCCACTGGGGGAGTGTGTGTGTGAACCCCGACATCTGTATGTCCCTGTTGTGCGGGGGTCACAGGGCCCATGAAAAGGCTGTTCCAGAATATTCTGTTGTAGAGCTCAGGGACAGGCACCCCACCTTCCTTGTACAGACTGAAGTTGTTAAACCCAAGATAAGAGTGACACCGAAGAATGACATGTCCTAGAGGCACCACAAGGCTGGGCCAGGCAGACAGCAAGGGCTTGTCCTGACCACCTTGGGGAGAAGGAGGCGCCGCCTTAGAGAGGAGGATGTGGAACTGCCCCTCCCTCCCTGTGCTCAGAAGATTCTCCTCGCTTTCCACGTTTCTATGGCTACTATCACACCTTGGTGCCCAGGGCTGAAGGAAGGACCCATCCCGCAAAGACATGGTGTCTCCCTACAACAAAAGCCTCAGCTGAGAACTTTGAGCAAGTGCTGAGTAAAGAGACTCCTACTAGATTTTAATACTGTAAGATTACTCACATAAAACAACACAGGGTAGACATGAGGTGGAGGGCATGTCCTTTGTGAGTGGATATCAGCGGATGCCTGAACGAAAATAAACAACTGAGCCCCCATCAGAGGATTTGGAATGTCAGGGCCATGGCTGTGGTTTCCCACCTCTTCTGGTAGAATGACAGCAGCCACACTGCAGCCCCTACCATCATGGAAACGCTGAAGTGTGTGAGTAACACCTTTGTCCTCAGAGGATCTGCTGTTCCTACCACTTCCCCACCACACACCCCAGCTTTGAGCACCCCAGTCTAACCCTGGTCCCCACAGAACTTGACTCTGCCAAGGGGTTGAGAGGCCAGGGAGGCAAGGTCAGAAATGTGGGCCGAGCACCCCAGGGTCCTCTCTTCCCAGTTTATGAGAGACTCCCTGACAGGACTTCCCTCCTGTTTCAGGAAAATCCTCTTATGTGGGGAGATGACAACCGAAGGTTTGGAGAAGGACTCACCCTCATGTGGCCAGGCCCCCTGCAGCAAGAAGAACCCTGGAAAGAAAGATCATGATGGACCATCCATCTGCAGGCAAACCAGGACTCCCTTGCTGCCCCCACTGGGCTGTGAGTCTTGGCAGCCAGGCCCTTCCTGGGCTGAAGTTAAACTCACCCTCAGTGCCTACCTGCACCCAAGAACAGGGCTGTCGGCTGTGCAGAGACCCAGTTTCCAGGCCCAGATCCCCACCACAAGCCCATATCTCCACTCCAGGCTGATATTTCCACCCTAGGCCCATATCTCCAATCCAGTCCCATATCTCTGCCCCAGGCCCAGATCTCCACCCTAAGCCCATATCTCCACTCCAGGCCCATATCACCTCTCCAGTCCCATATCTCCACACCCAGGCCCATATCTCCTTCCTAGGCCCATATCTCCACTCCAGGCCCAGATATCCACCTCTAGGCCCATAACTCCACTCCTGGCCCATATCTCCACTCCAGGCCCATATCTCTACTGCAGGCCCGTATCTCCACCTCCAGATCCATATCTCCACTCCAGGCCCATATCTCCACTCCAGGCCCATATCTCTACTGCAGGCCCATATCTCCATCTCCAGGCCCATATCTCCATCTCCAGGCCCATGTCTCCACTACAAGCCCATATCTCTACTGCAGGCCCATATCTCAACCTCCAGGCCCATATCTCCACTCCAGGCCCAGATCTCCACTTCTAGGCCCATCACTCCATCTCTAGGCCCATAACTCCACTTCCAGGCCTATATCTCCAACTCTGGGCCCCGATCTCCATCCCCGCACTCCCTCCCTCGATTCCCTTCCAGGACTCACCAACACACGCCATGCTGACGACCATGAGCGACATGGTGCTGTCTGTGCAGACAGGCGGCCGCGCCCCAGCTCAGCTCAGCAGCGCACAGGATGTTATTTGGCGCCCTGCCCATGCAGTTTACATGTTGACCACATCATGGGAGGGTGACGTACGCAGGCTCTTTCTACCTTGCATGAGGCCCAGTGGGTGCTCGCTCAAGAGCGGAACATGGCTTCCTGGAAATTGTTCTCACTAGAATTGACACCTTGCGTCCTTCACTACGACCAGACTCAAAAGACGTCTCAGATCCAACCTCTCATACACGAGATGATTGAATTCTGTGCTTACATTAAAGATTTTTGATGTATTTTTGTTTTTATCTGAGATTCAAACTCTTCTTCATATGTAATGTGCAAAATGTCTAACAGGTATTATTAACATTATCAGAGTAATTGTGACAAGAAGCCATTCTAATTTTCCTGCTTGAGTTTCTAGTACTAAACCAGAGGCATCAGAATAGCTTGAACCTGGGAGGCGGAGGTTGCAGTGAGCTGAGCTCAAGCCACTGAACTCCAGCTTGGGTGACAGAGGAAGAGTCTGTCTCAAGAAAAAAAAAAAGCAAACTAAATAACCTATAATAACAAATCAGAGGACTCAGGTTACCAAATTTTAAGGGGTTCTATAAGTTTATATAAAATGCAGCATCCTCATGAGAGGGGATACAGAGAACCACTGGACAGAAAACTGTGTCTAAAATACATCTGTGGATACACAGTCCCTTTATAGTTGACAAAGGCTGCCATGTAGTTTAAGGTGGAATAGAATATTTTCTCAACAAATAACACAGGACCATAGGGTTACACGTAGGAAAAAATAAATCTAAACTTATCCTCACACTATAAAAACACTTCTTATTTTTTATCTTGTTGTTGTAAATTTTTTATGCTTTATTTTTAAGATTGACAAATAAAAATTATATACCATGGTCCTTCACTATACCTGGGTGATTGGTTCCAGGATCCCCATTCAGATACCAAAATCTGCAGATGCTCAAGCCCCTTGCATGAAATGGCATAGTGAAGCTGGGCACCGTGGCTCACGCCCGTAATCCCAGCACTTTGGGAGGCTGAGCTGGGTAGATCACAAGGTCAGGAGTTCAAGACCAGCTGGTCCAACATTCTGAAACCCCGTCTCTACTAAAAATACACACACAAAAAAATTTATCTGTGCAGGGTGGCACGTGCCTGTAATCCTAGGGGAGGCTACTGAGGAGGCTGAGGGAAGAGAATCGCTTGAACCTGGAAGGCGGAGGTTGCAGTGAGTTGAGATCACGCCACTGCACTCCAGCCTGGGTGAGAGAGTGAGACTGTCTCAAAAAAAAAAATAGCATAGCAATTGCATAGAACCCATGCACATCCTCCTGTATACATGAAATCATCTCTTGATTACTTATAATTCCTGACACAGCCTACACGCCACTCAATTTGTGTCGATTCAACATAGTTTTTTGCTTTTTGAAACTTCGGGGATTTTTTTTCTCAAAATATTTTTGATTTATTGCTGATTCAATAAACATGTGTAAACCCCAGAGATATGGAGGAGTGACTGTCTATTTATAGTAGTATGAAAGATGATGTGTTGATACGTGTCCCTGTGGAGATGAGACTAACAAGGCCTATGACTCTACAAATGTTTCATCGTGGAATGACTCTGCCAGCTTTCCAGATCTGCAGAGAGTAAGAATATCACTTGTTCATCTGATTCACCATCCTTGGAACCTCCTATGTGCTGCATCTTTGGATGGAAACTGGAGTCTCAGAGACAATTCAGGCTCCACCCTGCTTCCAGAAGCTCAGAGTCCAGGGGTGAGAACCCAGCGGAGAACAGATGGGGTTATGTGGACGTGGTAATGATAACACCGGAAGCCTTAGGCAAGAAAAGAGTCCCATTGACGAAACCATGAGGGCAGACATGTTTACTTGAAGAATAGAAAACTACATTGAAATTATAAAAAAAATTTATAAGTTTTACTGCTGACAGAAGGCTGAAAGATACTCTGAGGAAAGGTGGAACAACATGAGGAAAGGTGGAATAGCATGTATCTAAGTGCCGTGTTAAGAGGGAGCCTCTTATATGTTTGGAATTGTGAGTTCCTCAGTGTGATCGCAGCCTCAAGTAGACTAGGAAGTAAGCCAGTTAGGTTGGAGAGGTGGGCAGGGGTCAAGTGAAATGGAGAATTGTGGGCTAAGCAAAGGAGTGTGTTTTCTCTCCAGCAGGCAGTGGGGACCTTAGACATTTGTAAGCAAGAGAGAGGCATGTTCAGATTCGTGGTGTGAGGAAGAGCGATGCCCTAAGATGCAGACTCACGCCTTCAGATTCCAGCTGCTGGTACATGGGAGCTGGCAACCCGGTTTTGAGACAGGGCTATTGTCTCCCTAGAAGATCCCATCAAGGCCTGACTGTGGTGCTGGTGGACAGAAGACAACTTTGGATCTGCGCTCAGCATTTGGAAGTTCCGTGTTACACGCTGGTATCTGTTGGGGGTGTCTTGGGCCTCTGAGAAGGGCGAGTGATTTTTCTCTGTGTGAAAACGCAGTGATTCAACTGTGCGTATGTCACCTCCTGAGGGTCTTGTTCATCAGAGTCCTGGAGGGAGGGAAATGCTGAGTGAGGGAGGGTGCTCACATTTTTCAGGACTCTTTGGGAATAAGACTAGCCATGAGGCTGGGCTGAGGAGCACCTACCTCCCTGTTCACTGTTCTGTTCCCTGCAGGCTCTTGGTCCATTACAACAGCATCTGTAGAAGACGGAAGTCGTCAAAACAGCTCGGAGGGCACTTCTGGGTCCTCATTTCATAAGCAGATACCAACATGCAGGGGGAGGCCATAGGTGCCTGAGGTCCCTCAGTTGCCAACAGCAGACTCAGACATTCTATCTCTCTGAGCTCAAGGACCCATCCCATGAATAGCTCTGAGTTCCCATCCCATTGATTCTGTCTCCCACTTTCTGCCTGTCATGGAACCTTCTCCTGGATGTGAGTGGCTGCAGGGGATGTGAGGATATGGTTCAGAATCAGGCAATGGTCTGTGAGCTGAAGGCAGGGGCAGGGAGTCTGGTGCTCTCTCTAGAAAGTCCTGCCTCTGTGGCTCCTGCCTTGGGTCAGGGACCATCCTGCCTGTAAGGAACACACACCTGAGTGCTCCCATCCTGCTTCCCCACATGGCCCTGAGCTCTCTGGCTTCTGCTTCGTGAGACTTACTCTTTTTGTTGGCACACCAGCGATGAAGGAGAAAGAAGAGGAGGATAGCAAAGGGGATGATGACCACTGAGGTCCCAATCAGAGCGTGCAGGTATCTGGAGTTACCTGGAGGAAGACAAGACACCAATAAGAAGCTAATCATAGCAGTTCCTCTATATGAATTGTCTCACATTTCTTGATTGACAGGTAACCACATACAACGTCTCTTTAGGACAAGCACCCAGATGGCGGGAGACCTAGCTTCCTCCTGCTTTCTCAGTTGTAGTAACCATAGAACGTGCTGAGGATACAACTGCTTTAGTTTAGATGTTTGACCACTTCAAACCTCACATTGAAATGTAACCCCCAGGGTGGGAGGTTGGGCCTCTTGGGAGGTGTTTGGGTCATGGAGGTGGATCCATCATGAACAGATCAATGCTGTCCCAAGGAGATGGGGTTAGCAAGTTCCCCCTCTATTAGTTCCTGGAGAGCTGGTTGTTAAAAAGAACTTGGAAGCTCCATCGCTCCCCCTCCCCCTTGCTCCCTCTCTTGCCGTGTGATCTCTGTGGTCTCTGCACAGATAGACCCTCCTTCCCTTCTGCCAGAGCGGGAGCAGCCTGAGGCCGTCACAAGAAATAGATGCTGGTGCCATGCTTCCAGTACAGCCTGCAGAACTGTGAGGCAAACACATTTCTTTTCTTTAGAAGTTACCCAGGCTCAAGTGTTCCTTTAGAGCAACAAAAATGGACTAAGACAGCAAAGTCCTGAGATCAGGAGGAACATCCCAGAACAGCCTGGGCTGTCTTCCTGTTCTTCCTGGAGGAGGACGTCATGCAGTGCTTTAGCTGAGTGCTTCCTGTGGCTCCAGGGTACAAAACCCAGGCTGGGCTGCTTTTTGATTTCCCCCAGATACACTGCATATGGGGTGACTCCACATGTCTCGAGCAGCTTTTCTGAGCCTTGAGGGACTGGCTCACATTGAAATGTAGGCTTCTGTTGTCACTCGCTGCTTATCTGTTAGTAATGAACCTGCCTGTGTAATGTGTTCTCTGTGTGTTCTGTCTCCCTGGAGTGACGGTGAGTGATAGGAATTGGTATAGGCCCAGGTACATTCCAGGAGGTGTTTAGAGTCTTCTCTGGGAAGACTGGATTGGGATTGATACACAGCGAATGTGCTTTACAGTTTCTACCACCACAACCCTCTTGACTCAAAAAAATTACATTCTCCAAGAAAAGAAAGAAAAAATGAAATCAAGATAAAAAAAGTGAAGTAGAACTGACTTAAATCAAACAGCCATGAAATAATGATGTAGCCCAGGAACAACATGCTACTTTTTGTGATCTGCTGAGACATATATTAGGCTGCTATTCCACCCGAGAAGCACGGGGAAGGACCGCCCTCTCCGTCGTTTATTGTTTCAATACAGCCTGTCCTTCTGTGAGTTAGTACGAAATGTGACCAGGGGCTAGTGCTGGCACTGGTCTCTGAGTCCAAGATCTGAGCTCACTCCAAAGAGTATTAGTGTTTACCTCCCCATGATCTATCTGTATCTCCATAGGTGATTGGAAGTAGAGATGAATTGGGGGATTTGGGTGAAGGGGCAAGTTTTATGCCATGAACAGAGCACGTTCTCTATTCCAGGACCTGTGCTGGTGGGTTCAGGAGGCTTTCACATTTTCCATATGATCCCAAGCTCACAGAAAGCCAAATAAGGAAGAGGTTTAACCTGATTGTTTAATGGATAAGATAAAGGGTCAAAGAATTAAACACAGAGAAATAGAAAAATGATGGTTGGTATCCAGTTGCCTTTGTAATTTCTGTGTGTCATATTATAATTATGTATGTTTTATTTTTATTTTTTGAGACAGAGTCCCCCTGTGTCAGGCTGGAGTGCAGTGATGCGATCTCAGTTCAACCTCTGCCTCCAGGGTTGAAGCCATTCTTCTGCTTCAGCCTCCCCAGTCGCTGGGATTACAGGCAGGTGCCAATGCACCAGGCTAATTTTTGTATTTTTAGTACAGACGGGGTTTCACCATGTTGGCCAGGCTGGTCTCAAACTCCTACCCTTAAGTGATCTACCCGCCTTGGCCTCCCAAAGTGTTGGGTTACAGGTGTGAGCCCCCATCCACAGTCTTGTATATTATATTATACTAGGTCCCTTCATTTGCACCACCCCTCATGTGTCTATCGCTCCTCTGCCAGGTATGGATTTAGATGTAGAAAAAAAACACATCTCAGAAAGAAATTAATGAAACAAGGATTAAACTACTAGGAAAAATCAAACCCAGCAAGCCCTCCCTGCAAATGATTCTACCTCACAAGCATAGCTTATATCCATCTTTCATTCATTTAGTGTGTAAATCAACCCTACGTTTCACCAGTGGGGCGGGAATTGCCTTTTCCACCGTCTCCTAGATTCCAGTTACGCACCTGGGCCTCCCTTATTTTCATGTCGGTCACTATTAATCAGGTAGGGATTCCTAGTTAGCTCTGAGTTGAATCCAATGGCTGTGAGTATCAAACACACGCTCCTTGTTCCTCCTTAGTTTCCTGTGTACCCAGTGTGCTCTCCATCTCTCTACAGTTGTCTTGTCATTCTCCCCACTTCATTCCCAGCATTTGAGGCAGAGCCTCTTCCTTGAACTAAGAATGTTTCCACCTTTGTGCCTTCACGGCTGAGAGCTCAGTGTGGAAAATCCTTCCGCCAATCTTCCAAGGGTTGAATCCATTTTTTCCATTAAGGTCACAAATATTATCTGATCAGTGAGACCTTCTCTGTCACCTGAAATTATATACTCAGCATTATCTATTACTTATTTTAAATCCTGGCTGGGCGCAGTAGCTCTCGCCTGTAATCTTTGCACTTAGGGACGCTAAGGCGGTGGGATCACTTGAGATTGGGAGTTTGAGACAGCCTGCACAACATGGTGAAACCTCATTTCTACTAAAAAAATATACCAAAAAAATTAGCCGAGTGTGGTGGCGCACAGCTGTAATCCCAGCTACTCGGTAGGCTGAGGCAGGAGAATTGCATGAACCCAGGAGGCAGAGGTTGCAATGAGCTGAGATTGTGCTACTGCACTCCAGCCTGTGGAACAGAGAGAGACTCTACTCAAAAAAAAAAAGAAAACAAAAAACACACACACACACAAAAAACCCCAGATTTGGTGCACAGATGCTTCCCAATGGATCATTCATTTATTGGTACCCTTGTGCATTCATTCTCTGCCCTCGCATTTACCCATCTGCAATATCAGCGTCCCAAGAGCAGAGGCCAAATGCATCCTGTTTACCATTTGTGGAAGGCAGGAGAATGCTGCCCCACCCCCAAAATGTCCCTGTCTTAGCCTCCATAGCTTGTGAATATGTTATTTTACAGGAAAGGAGGAATGAAGATTGCAGATGGCATTACGGTTGCTAATCAGCTGAACTTAAAAAGAGGGTACGCTGGATGATTTTAGGGAGATTGAGATGGATTATCTTGGTGACCCCAATAGAATCCCAAAGTCCTTAAAAGATGAGGAAGAAGGCAGAGCAGGATTCAGAGAAAAAGGTGTGGGTAAAGAAGAAGAGTCTGAATGATGCCATGTGAGACGTGACCAGCCTTTGTGGGCTTTGAGGAAGGAGGAAGGAGGAAGGGGACCAGGGGCCCAGGAACGTGGGAGCCTCTAGGAGCTGGGAAACGTTAAGGAGCAGATTCTTGCTTGGAACCTTAAAAAGAAATCCAGCCTTACTGTCCCTTTGATATCAGCCCAGTGAAATGCAGTTCATACTTCTGAGTTACAGCACTGTGAGATAATTAAGAAAAACATGTTTTCATCCACGAAGCTTGTGGAAATTTGTTATGGCAACAATAGGAAAAGATTCCACACTGCACAGCCTGAGCATGGGGCATTGGCTGAACGAGTGAGTGAGTGGAAGTGTCGTGTGCATAAATAAGCTAAATTCTCTCTTACTGCACGTCTCTTGCTCTGCTGAGTCAACCAGGGTTGCATCTGGTACACTGCTGATACGAATGTAAATTAGTACAGCCATTACAGAGGAGAAGAGTATGGAAGTTCCTCAAAAAATAAAATGAGGTCGGGCACAGTGGTTCATGCCTGTAATCCCAGCACATTGGGAGGCCGAGGTGGGTAGGTCACTTGAGGTCAGGAGTTGAAGAGCAGCCTGGCCAATATAGCGAAACTCTGTCTCTACTAAAAATATAAAAATTAGCCGAGTGTGGTGGTGGGAGCCAGTAACCCAGCTACTTGGGAGGCTGAGGCTGGGGAATCTCTTGAATCCTGGAGGTGGAGGTTGCAGTGAGCCCAGATGGCGCCACTGCACTCCAGCCTGGGCAACAAGAGTGAAACAGTCTAAAAAAAACAAAAACAAAAACAAAAACCATAAAACAAAATGTAAAAAGACACTTCCAGAGGATCTAGCAATTCCATGACTGGGTGTAAACCCAAAGGAAAGGACATCAGCGTATCGAAGTGACATCTGCACTCCCATGACTGTTCCAGCAGTGTTCACAGTAGCCAAGATGTGGATCAACCTACCTGCCCATCAGTGGGTGAATGGATGGAGAGAATGTGGTACACACACACAATAGGGACAACTCATCCATAGAAAGAGTAACATCCTGTCATTTACAGCCACATGAATGGAACTGGAGGTCATTACAAGTATTTCCATTTCTCACTCATATGCAGGAGCTAAAAGGTGGATCTCACAAAGGTAGAGAGTAGAATGGTGGCTACCAGAGGCCAGGAAGGGAAGGGTGGAGGGTAAAAAAAAAAGAATACTAATTAATTAATTAATTAATTTTGAGAGAGTGTCTCTCTCTGTTGCCCAGGCTGCAGTGCAGTGGCATGATCTCAGCTCACTGCAACCTCCGCCTCCTGCAATTAAGTGCAACTCCTGCCCAACCCTACCAAGTAGCTGGGACTACAGGCATGTGCCACCATGCTCGGCTAATTATTATCATTATAATTATTATTTTGTATTTTTAGTACAGATGGATTTTCCCCATGTTGGCCAGGGTGGTCTTGAGCCCCTGATCTCAAATGATCCACCTGCCTTGGCCTCTCAAAGTGTTGGGATTACAACCGTGAGCCACCGTGCCCAGCCTATAAATGTATTTATGAACAGTAGACTTCACACTTAAAAATGGTAAAGGTGGTAAATTACATAGGTATATTTCACCTCAATAAATATTTCTTCAAACAAAAAGAAAAGGGTGTAGGCGTTGCTGGTGATGACATCTCTCTGTGGGTGACAGGCCAGGATGGGCTTCTGGGAAGTGGGTAAGGTTGAGGGGCTGAGAGAACCTCTGATCTCCCCAGGCAGAGCCCAGTCTCCCTCCTCTGGGTCTGTTCTGACCTCTTTCTCCATCTGCCTGGGTGCCTGGAACCCTGATCAAGGGCATCCTTGCAGGCCATACAGGAGGGTTTGGAGGTGCCCTGTCTGCCATCCTGCGCCCTGACCCCGCCCTTACACCCATGCTGTGTGTTCTGTCTCGGCATCTGTCCATGCTTCTCTCCATCATCAGCAGGAAGCTCCTCAGCTATGGCTCTAGGATCACAAGACATGGGACAGGCATGGTGTTTTCTCACCTGTGACAGAAACGGGCAGTGGGTCACTCGGGTCTGACCACGCATGGGGCAGGGCACGGAAAGAGCCGAAGCATCTGTAGTTCCCTCCGTGGGTCACAGGGCCCAGAGGGAAGTTGGCCTGGAATGTTCCATTGACCCTCAGCACTGCAGTGAGCCTAAGTTCACCGGCCTCCGCCTCCCTGGATAGATGGTAAATGTCAAACAAGCTCCGGGAGCTGCAGGACAAGGTCACATTCTCTCCTGCCTGAACCGTGGGGCCCGGCTGGGCTGAGAGAGAAGGTTTCCCATATAGACCTGGAAGAAGAAGAGGTGGTTTCCTCAGGGAGGTTCTTCCTTGTCACAGCTCTCCTCACACCTGAGCTGAGAACTCACTCCCCTGCTCTATGACTTAATGCTCTCTTTCTCTCTCTCACCCTCCACCCCCATCTCTCTTCATGTCTATTTCCTCCTTCCACCTTCTCTGTCTCTCTAGGTCTCTGACCTCACTTCTCCATCCCTAGCTATGTTTTCTTTTTTTGTACCATTTTATTCTCTCTGACCCTCCTTGGACTGGTTGACTTGATCTTCCTCTTTCTTTAATTCTGAGTCTCTCACTTTCTGTCTTGCTCATAACTTTCTGCATATTTCTATCTATTATCTATTGATCGATCTATCATTTATCTATGTATGTATCTATCATCTATCATCATCTGTGTATCTATGACCTATCTCTCTGTTATCTATCATCTATCAATCAATGTATGTATGTATGCATCTATCCATCTATCATCATGTGTTTATCTGTCTTTCTATCTCTCTATATCTATTTATATATCATCTGTCTGTCTTTCTACTTGTCTATCTATATCATCTATCAGTCATTCATCATCTATTTGTCTATCACCTGTCTCTCTATTATCTATCATCTACCTTTTATCTTTCATCTATCTATATCTATCTGTCCATCTATCATCTGTCTCTCTCCATCTCCTTGTCTTTCTCTGCCTCTCAGTCTCTCTAGTTCCCTTTTGGAGTCTCTGCAATCCATCCTCACATCTTTATCTTTCCCTGTCTTTGTGCCCCTCCCTCAGGGCTCTGATTTTAGGGCTTTTCTCTGCTTCCTTCCATCATACGCTCCACTTCTCTGCCCTCTTTTTCTATCTCTTTATGTGTCTGTGAGTCTCTCAATTCCCTTCTTCTGGCTCATTCTGTGTGTGTGTTCATGTCTTTGCTTTTTGATTTCCCTGATTTCACTCCGTGTCTCTCTGTGGGCTTTTGTTCTCAGTAATCCTATAACATGTGGTGCTATTTGAATATGAGCCTCAGAATCCAGTATGGGGACTCCAGGAACTCACAGCATACAGGGGTTGGTGTTCTGCTCCCTCACCTGGGGCCATGGTGTCCTGGGACGATGACAGCTCCACTGCACGGAAGGCAGAGGTTTAAGAATAAACACAACATCTGTAGGTGCCACCAGCCTGGGGCCACATGGCCCAACTCAGGCCAGATAGATGTGTCTCTTTGGGTTCTCCTGGGAGAGAACACTTTGTAGAGGTAAAACAGAATGGAACCTTCTAACCTGTGCCTGGTCTCTGAACAAAGTCAGCATAGAAGGACACCTCTCTCTGGGATATGTCTGTCTCTCTGTGTCTTCTTTACCTCTTTATCTCTTTTTCTAACACCTTGTATGGCCCCTGTGTCTGGCTTCTATGTTATGACATGAGGTCTGTACTTGTGTCTCCTGTTTCTCTGCCTTTGTTGGTACAGACCTCACCAAGTCACTTTCTCTCCATAGGAACCCCACACTCATCTTCCTCATGACCACCTGGGGCTTCCAGTCCTAGATCATTCACTCCATCTCCCAGCAAGGGTGAGAGGCAGGTCTGTATTCTCTCACCTACGACCACGATGTCCAGAGGGTCACTGGGAGCCGACAACTCATAGGGTAAGTGAGTGACAGAACCAAAGCATCTGTAGGTCCCTGCAAGGGCAGGTGTCATGGGACCCATGGAATAGTTGACCTGGGAACCCGCATCGTGGAGCTGTCCAACGAGGCGCAAGGGGTCCTCAGTGATCCCCTCTCTGTGCAGAAGGAAGCGCTCAAACCTGACATCTGACCAACATTGCAGGATGACCGTCTCTCCTGATTTCACCAGGGGACCTGGGTGGGCCAGGAGGGAAGGTTTTCTGTGGACTCCTAAGAAGAGAGGTTGTGAGTTCAGAAGGCGTCTCCCTTTCTCATCCCATTCATGGGACCTGAAATAAGTGAGGCTTCCCCTCCATGGTGTCTATCTCTCTCCTTCCTGTCTGTGTCTCCGTGTTCTTTTGTGCCCATAACCCCTGTTGCAGGTCCCTCCATCTGTCTCCCTCCCTCTTCCCTGTCTCTCTGTCTCTAGTAGCCCTGATTCCCTTCCCACTGTGCTCAGTGTCACCTCTTAGGCTGTTGTATCTGTTTCCCACTAATCTCTTTCCTGGTGTTTATGTGGGGGTGGAAGAGGAACCATGACAGGCTGCATGTCCAGGCTCTTAGCAGCCTGAATCAATCTCTTTTGGACAGATTGGAAAGGCCGGCAGGAGGTACGAACTCATCAGTAAGGCAGGCATCAGTGTCCCTGTTCCTGATGGGGATTGGGAGCCTCTCCTTTCATGTCTGTGCCTTCTCCATGGCCCCAGCTTCCATAGGGTGGCCCCTGGTGCTGGTTCCAGGAGCATCAACCCCTCCCTATGTGGATCGAGCCTGGTGGTAGCATCAGTATCCCACCCATGCTAAAATCAGTGTAGCCAACCTTCTCCTTGTTTGGTTTCTTAACCTGTGCTTCACCTGGGTTCCTGTGTTGGTTTCCTGTTGCTGCTGGAGAAAATTGTCACAAACATGGGGCAGGAGAGAATACAATGACCCCTTCCACTTCTGGAGAACAGAAATCGGACCCAGTTCTCTCTGGGCTAAAATCAAGGCATCTGCAGGGCTGTGTTTCCTCTGGAGACTCAGGGAAGAATCAGTTCCCTTGACTTCTCCAGCCCTTAGAGGCCACCTGCCTTTGTGGCTCATGGCCTTCCCCCATCTTCAAAGCCCGCTGTGGCTGATGGAGTCTCCCTCCCACGACGTTGCTCTAACCCCACTTTCCTCTTCCTCCTCCTCTCATGAGGACCCTTGTGATTACTCTGAGCACAGCAGGACAGTCCAGGCTGTCTCCCCATCGCAAGGTCAACTCATCAACAACCTGAGCTCCATCTTCCTCTTCAGTCCCCTGCCCTATAACATAAATAGTCACAGGGTTCATGGATTACCATGTAGCCATCACTGGGGACAATTATTCTTCCCACCACAGCAACTATTTCTCTGTACTGAATCCCCCTTTACCCCAAATACAGTCGGGGCCTGGATGATTGGACCCTGATGGACGCCCCCACCAGAAGCTCTGGGATTCAGGAGGTGGGACAGTGAGAAGCCCAGACAGAAAGCCTCTGACCTGTGACCATGATCACCACAGGGTTGCTGGGTGCCGACCACCCAGTGGGGGAGTGTGGGTGTGAACTGCAACATCTGTAGGTCCCTGCATGTGCTGGGGTCACAGGGCCCATGAGAAAGCTGTTCCGGAATATTCTGTTGTAGAGCTCAGGGACAGGCATCCCGTCTTCTTTGGACAGACTGAATTCATTAAACCCAAGACGAGAGCGACACTGAAGAGTCACATGTTGTCCTTCAGACACCACAGTGCCGGGCCAGGCAGAGAGGAAGGGCTTGTCCTGACCACCTGGGGGAGAAGGAGGCACCACCTTAGAGAGGAGGATGTGGAGCCGCCCCTCCCTCCCTGTGCTCAGAAGATTCTCCCATTTCCACGTTTCTAAGGCTCCTACCACACCTGGGTGCCCAGGGCTACAGGAAGGACCCATCCCGCATAGACATGGCGTCTCCCTACAGCAAGTGTCAGCTGAGAACTTTGAGCAGGTGCTGAAGAAGCGACTCTTACTAGATTTTAACACTGCAAAATTACTTACATAAAAGAACACAAGGTAGACACAGGATGGAGGGCATGATCAGCTAATGCATGAACCATAATAAACAACTGAGCCCCTATTAGAAGATCTGGAATGTCAGGGTCATGACTGTGGTTCCCCCACCTCTTAGGTAGAATGACAGCAGCCACATTGCAGCCCCTACCGTCATGGAAACGCTGGAGGGTGTGAGTTATGCTCTTGTCCTCAGAGGCCTGTTGTTCCTTGCACTGCTTCTCTCCCTTCCTCTGCCGGTGACACCACTTCCTCCCTGCACACCACTCCTTTGAGCACTTCAGTCTCCCCCTGGGTCCCCACAGACTCAGCCAAGGGAAAGAAAGGCCGGGGAGGGCTAGGACAGAACTGTGGCGAAGCTTCCCCTGGCTTCCTTTTCCTAGTTCATGAGAGATTCCCACATGGCTTCCCATGGTCAGCCCATCAGTCAACCCCCTGTGTCGCCTGCCTCCCGTTTCAGGAGCATCATCTTATGTGGGGAGATGACAACCTAAGGTTTGGGGGAAGGACTCACCCACATGTGGCCAGGGCCCCTCCAGCAAGAAGAACCCTGGAAAGAAAGATCATGATGGATGATCCATCTGTACATCACCTCCAGGCCCATATCTCCACTCCAGGCCCATATCTCCACCTCTAGGCCCATATCTCCACTCCAGGCCTATATCTCCACCTCCGTCCTATATCTCTACTCCAGGCCCATATCTCCACTCCAGGCCTATATCTCCACCTCCGTCCTATATCTCTACTCCAGGCCCATATCTACACTCCAGGCCCATATCTCCACCTCCAGGCCTGTATCTCCACCTCCAGGCCCGTGTCTCCATTCCAGGCCCATATCTGCACTCCAAGCCAACATCTCCACTCCAGGCCCGTATCTCTACTCCAGGCCCATATCTACAGTTCCAGGCCCATATCTCCACCTCCAGGCCCATATCTCCACTCTAGGCCCATATCTCCACCTCCAGGCCCGTATCTCAATTCCAGGTCCATATCTGCACTCCAAGCCAATATCTCCACTCCAGGCCCATATCTACAGTTCCAGGCCCATATCTCTACTCCAGGCCCATATCTCTACTTCAGGCCCATATCTACAGTTCCAGGCCCATATCTCCACTCCAGGCCCATATCTCCACCCCAGGCCCATATCTCCACTCCAGGCCTATATCTCCACTCCAGGCCCATATCTCCACTCCAGGCCCAGATCTCCACTCCAGGCCCAGATCTCCACCCCAGCGCTCCCTCCCTCGATTCCCTTCCAGGACTCACCAACACACGCCATGCTGACGACCATGAGCGACATGGTGCTGCCGGTGCAGACAGGCGGCTGCGCCCCAGCTCAGTTCAGCAGCACACAGGATGTTGTGAGGGGCTCATGCAGTTTACATGCTGACCACATCATGGGAGGATGACGTATGCAGGCTATTTCTACCTTGCATGAGGCCCAGTGGCTGTTTGGTCAAGAGCGGAACATGGCTTCCTGGAAATTGTTCCAACTAGAATTGACACCTTGCATCCTTCACTATAACCAACTCAAAACACGTCTCAGATCCAATCTCTCATACAGGAGATGACTGAATGCTTGGCTTACATTAAAGACTTTTGATGTATTTTTGTTGTTTTTATCTGAGATTCAAACTCTTCTTCATGTGCTATTTTCCCCAGGCTGTTCTTTGACTTCAGAGTTCAAGCAATCCTCCTGCCCCAGCATTTCTAGCAGCTGGCAGTATGTCACAATCTGCCACACCCAAGTCACAACTTTTAGAACTTTTTTTTTTTTTGAGACGCAATCTCACTTCGTCACCCAGTTTGGAATGCAGTGGTGAGACCTCGGCTCATTGCAGCCTCCACCTCCCAGGTTCACGCAATTCTCGTGCCTCAGCCTCCTAAGTAGCTGGATTTACAGGCACCCACCATCACGCCCACCTAATTTTTGTACTTTTAGTAGAGAGGAGGTTTCTCCATGTTGGCCAGGCTGGTCTTGAACTCCTAACCTCAAGTGATCTGTCTACTTCAGCCTCCCAAAGTGCTGAGATTACAGGTGTGAGCCACCATGCCTGGCCGGGACATTCTATATGTGTGCGTATGTGTGCGTTTATATACATATGGTTATACACACACACACACACACACACCCTAAGCACTCACATATATAGTTGTTTCAAATTTTAAAAAATATAAATTTTGTATTTTTCTTTCTTTTTCTCACATTTGTGTTTCTATGACACCATATACATATTGAATTTTATAGTTCTATTTTATTCTTTTGGATTGCAGTTTAATAGTCCATACATAACTTTATCAACATGTAATTATCCACTCTTTTTATCATGGACATTTGTGTTGTTTCCGGATTTTCTCTTTTATAACTCGGGCCTTGATAATCGTGTTTCTGTGTGATCCCTTGCATACATATGCTGAATTAATTAGACATATTTACCTAGGAATGAAATTATTGGTTTTGGGTGCAAGTTGGTGTTGAGCTTAACCAGGAAGTGCCAAAATATTTCCATCATGACCAAATGTGGCCTGGAAAGTTTTTTGGGGTCAATTTTCCTGTTTCTTCTAAGGAACAAAATTGATGTCACTGATTTTTCTGTCCTGTTTGTCATTTATGAATATACGTACATATGCACGTATATATTTGCTTGCCATTTTATGTTTTTCCTCGACGTTACTTTGGAATTAATTTGCTGATGTGTAGTATTTCTGCAAGCGAAAGTTACCTATTTACTCAGCTCTTCCTTCTTTTCTAACACAGACATTTGAGGCTTATTTTCCTTTAACACTGTTCTATCTGTATCCCCAGTCATTTGCCGAGATGTGTTTTCATTTTTAATTGATACAAAATATTTTCCACCTTTCTTTGAAATGTTTTTCTTCCACTCATTGTTTATTGCTATGTGTGTTTATTAATTTTAAAATATTTGATAATTTCCCCAGCATTTCCTTGTTGTACATTTATAATTTAATTCAACTGTTTCATCTATCATATTACCTATGATTCAGCATTTAAAAATTTATTTTGGTGAATGTTCCAGGGGTGCTAGACAAGTTTGTGGATTAGGAAGATTTGAGGTGGATGTTTTCTAAATGTCAGTTAAGAAAAAAATCATTCAAATGTTTTTCTTTATTTAAAAAAAATAGAGACGGGGTCTCACTATGGTGCCCAGGCTGGTCTCAAACTCCTGGCCTCAAGTGATCCTCCCATTTTGGCCTCCCAAAGTGCTAGGATTATTGAAATTATTAAATGTTTCATATCAACACCCAACCTTATGCACCCGCCGCCTACACAAATGTTTTTCAAGTCTTTCATATGCTTAATAATTTTCTGTGTACTTGTTCTGGAAGTGAGGTGAATGTTGCTATCTCTAGCTGCAATTTGGATGTGATTGATTATGTTTTGAATTATGCCTTTAATTTAATGTGTTTTGAGGTTCCAGCTTTAGGTGTGTAGGCATTTAGGATTATTATGTCTTATTTATGAATTTGCCTCTTTGTCATTATGAAGTACTCCTCTTCATATCTCCATATATCTCTTCTTTGTATGTGCATGGTGAAATATTTCATTCTTTGAGTTAAGAAACTTCTATTGAGGAATACTTTTTATTACAAACATTTACCTATTCTATGTATACAACTGACTAGAAGCATATTTTGCACTGGGCATTATCATGACAATGTAATGTCATTCTTTCAATATTTACATCTTGTGGATTAGTATTTGAAGTGCAGCTTATGTAGACAGCATAAGGTTGGGTGTTGATATGAAACATTTAATAATTGCACACGTATTTGCCTCTTGGGATACTTCCACTTTTTTGAATTTCAAGTTACTAAATGGTATCATTAATCTTTGCTTCAAGAGCTTAACATTTATTGTAGAACAATGCTTCATGTAATAAATTGTGAGACATTTTTAATGGCACCTTTATTGCAGGAAAATGTTTTCCTTTTCAGGTTGAAAGATTCTAGTTTGAAATATTTTCTTGTAGCACTTTAAAAATGTTGGTCCACCTATTTCTTACTTTCATAGTTTTGAATACAAAGTTTGCTGTCATTCTTGTATTTCTTCTTCTGTTTTTTATTTATTTATTTTTGACAGAATATCTTGCCATCTCACCCAGGCTGGAGTGCAGTGGCATGATCTTGGCTCACTGCAACCTCTGCCTTCCAGGTTTCAGCAATTCCTGCCTCAGCCTCCTGAGTAGCTGGGACTACAGGCATGCGCCACCATACCCAGCCAATTTTTTTTTTTGTATTTTTTTTTTGTAGAGATGAAGTTTTGCCATATTGGCCAGAACTCCTGACCTCAAATGATCCACCTGCTTTGGCCTCCCAAAGTGCTGGGATTACAGGTGTGAGCCACTGTGCTCAGGCTATTTATTCCTTTTTATATAATATGAATTCACATTCATACATACCAGGGGTTAGGATTTCAACAAACGTTTCTGGGGGAGACCACTCAAAACACAGCACTCATCCTTGGTTATTTCCAGCCATGGAGCCTGTATCAATATCCTGGTGAATTATCTAAGCTGTCCACCTACCTACCCCAAATCCTCATGGTCACATAAAAGGCTAGTATAGTATAATAATTTTTCTTTCCCTGCTTATCTACAGTGATGAAGAAACGAATATTCAAAGGGAAAAATCTTAGCTTTAGGTATAGGGTAATTCTTCTTCCTATTTTTAAATAACTTCAACCTTTACTGTAGATTAAAGGTATGCATGCAGGTTTGTTACATAGGCATATTGTGTGACTCTGAGGTTTGTGGTTCCAACAATGCCATCACCCAGGCAATGAGCATAGAATCCAACAGGTGTTTCTTCAGCCTATACCTCCCTACTCCTCCCCCCATCTGTAGTCCTCGGTATCTGTTGTTTCCATCTTTATGTTCATGTGTATTCAATGTTTGGTTCTCAGTTATAAGTGATAACATGTGGTATTTGGTTTTCTGTTCCTGGGTTAGTTCACTTAGGAGATTGACCTCCTGCTACATTCATGTTGCTGCAAAGGACATGATTTCATTATTTTTTATGGCCATGTAATGTTCCATGTGTATATGTAGCACATTTTCTTTAACTAATCCACTGTTGGTGAGCACTTAGGTTGACTGCAAATCTTTGCTATTCTGAATTGCACAGCAATGAATATACTAGTGCATGTGTCTTTTTGACATAGTTAATTACCTTCCTTTTGGTATATACCCAGTAGTGGGATTGCTTGATTGAATAGTAGTTCTATTTTAAGTTATTTGAGAAGTCTCCAAACTGCTTATCACATTGGCTGAACTAGTTAACATTCCCACCAAGAGTGTATAAGTGTTCCCTTTTCTCCACAATCTTGTCAGCATCTGTTATTAAAAAAAACAAAAAACTTTTTAGTAATTGCTTCTGCTTCTCTGATTGTTGTGAGATGGTATCTCACTGTGGTTTTAATTTGCATTTCTCTGATGATTACTGATAATAAGCATTTGTTCATATGTTTTTTGGCCATGTGTACATCTTCTTTTGAGAAGTGTCTGTTCATGTCATACTTAATTGAGGTTTTTTGGTTTTCTGCTTGTTGATTTGTTTACATTCCTTATAGATTCTGGATATTAGAACTTTGTCAGATGCATAGTTTGCAAATATTTTCTCCCAGTCTGTAGGTTATCTGTTTACTCTGTTGATACTTTCGTTTGCTGTGCAGAAGCTCTTCAGTTGAGTTAGGTCCCAATTTCTGTCTTTGTCACAATTGGTTTTGGGGAGTTAGCCATAAATTCTTTGCCAAAGTCTATCTTGAGAAGGATATTTCCTAGGTTTTCTTCTAGAATTTTAATATTTTGAGGTTTTACATTTAAATCTTTAAACTATCTTGGGTTAATTTTTGTATATAGTGAGAGTTAGGGGTCCAGTTCTATTATTTTGCATATGAGTAGTCAGTTATCCCAGAACTATTTATTGAAGAAAGGGTACTTTCCACATTGCTTGTTTTTGTCAATTTTTTCAAAGATGATTGTAGGTATGTAGCCTCATTTCTGGGTTCTCTATTCTGTCTCATTGGTCTATGTGTCTGTTTTTGTAGTAGTATCATGCTGTTTGGGTTACTATAGCATTGTAGTATAGTTTGAAGTTGGGTAATGTGATGCCTGGGCTTTGTTCTTTGTGCTTAGGATTCCTATGTGTATTCAGGCTCTTTTTTTGGTGCCAAATACATTTTAGAATAAATTTTTATAATTTCGTGAAAAATGACATTGCATTTTGAAATGGATAGCATTGAGTCTGCAATTTGTTTTTGGAAGTATGGCGATTTTAACTATTTGTTCTCCTAATTCATGAGCATGGAATATTCTTCCATTTGTTTGTATCATTTCTTATTTCTTTCAGAAGTGTTTTGTAGTTCTCCTTGTAGAGAATTTTCACCTTCTTGGTTAGATGGATTCCTAGGTATTTTATTTTCTTTGTGGCTAGTGTAAATGGAATTGTGTTCTTGATTTAGTTCTCAGCTAGAATGTTAGTGGTGCATAGAAATGTTACTAATTTGTGTACATTTTTTTAATCCCGAAACTTTATTGAATTTGTTTATCAGTTTCAGGAGCCTTCTGACAGAGTCTTTAGGGTTTTCTATGTATAAAATTATTTCATCAGCAAAGAGAGACAGTATCACTACTTCTTTTCCAATTTTAATGCCTTTTATTTCCTTCTCTTGCCTGATTGCTTTGGCTAGGACTTCCAGTACCATGTTGAATTAAAATGGCGGGAGTGGTCATCCTGGTCTTGTTTCGGTTCTCAAGGGGTATGGTTCCAGCTTTTGCCCATCAATATGATGTTGGCTGTGGGTTTGTCATAGATGGCTCTTAATATTTTGAGGTATGTTCCTTTGATGCCTATTGACAGTTTTTATCATGAAGGGATGTTGGATTTTACAGAAAGCTTTTTCTGCATCTATTGAGATGATCATATAGTTTTTGTTTTTAATTATGTTTATGAGGTGAATCACATTCGTTGACTTTGTAGGTTGAACCAACCTTGCATCCCAAAAATAAAGCTTACTTGATCATGTGAATTAACTTTTGATGCACTGACAGATTCAATTTGCTAGCATTTTGTTGAGGATTTTATGTCTATGTTCATTAAGGATATTTAGTTGTAGTTTTCTTTTTTTCATTATGTCTCTGACAGATGTTGGTATCATGGTGATGATGGCTTCATAGAATGAGTTAGGAAGAAGCCCCCACTCCTTGATTTTTTCCAAAAGTTTCAGTAAGATCGGTATCAGTTCTTCTTTGTATGGCTGTTGGATTTTGGCTGTGAATCCATCTGGTCCTGGGCTATTTTTAGTTAGTAGGGTTTTTATTACTGATTAAATTTCTGAACTTGTTATTGGTCTGTTCAGGTTTTCACTTTCTTCCTGGTTGAAATATGATAAATTTTGTGTTACCAGGAATTTATCCATTTCTTCTAGGTTTTCTAGCTTGTTTGTATAGAGGTGTTCATAATAGTCTTTGACGATCTTTTCTATTTCTGTGGGATTGTTCGTAACATTGTTTTGTCAGTTCTATTTGTGTTTATTTGGATCTTTTCTCTTTTTCTTTGTTAATCTAGCTAACAGTCTATGAATTTTGTTTATTTTTTTTCAAAGAAAAACTCTTGGTTTTATTTATCTCTTGTATGGACTTTTTGGTCTCAATTTATTCAGTTCTCTCTGACTTTAGTTATTTCTCATCTTTTGCTGGCCTTGGGTTTGGACTGTTCCTTTTTTTTAATAGTTCCTCTAGATGCAGTGTTAAGTCACTAATTTGAGATCTTTCTAAACTTCTGATGAGGCATGTATTGCTATAAATTTTCCTCTTATCACTGCTTTAACTGCATCCCAAAGGTTTTGGTAAGTTTGTTTCTATTTTTATTAATTTTAAATAATGTTTTGTGATTTCTGCTTTAATTTCATTGTTCACCCAAGAGTTCTCAAGGGGTACAGTTCCAGCTTTTGACCATTCAATATGATGTTGGCTGTGGATTTGTCATAGATGGCTCTTAATATTCATTCAGAAACAAGTTGTTAAATTTCCATGTTTTTCTGTAGTTTTGAGAGATCATCTTGGTATTTTTTTCTATTTTTATTGTGTGCCTTGTTATGATTTTGATTCTTTGAATTTATTGAGACTTGCTTTGTGGCCAGTCTTAGAATATGATATGTTTTTTGTGTGTGCAGATAAGAAGAATCTATATTCTGCAGTTGTTGGGTGGAGTACTCTGTAGATGTCTATGAGGTCCAATTGGTCAAGTGTTGTCTTTAAGACCAGAATTTCTTTGTTAGTTTTCTGTTTTAGTGATTCATCTGACGTTGTTAGTGGGATACTGAAGTCCCTTACTATTATTGTGTGGCTGTCTAACTCTTTTCATAGGTGAAGAATAACTTGTTTTATGAATCGGGGTGCTCCAAATTTGGGTGCATATATATTTAGAATAGTTAAGTCTTCTGTCAAATTGAACCCTTTATCATTTTGTAATGCCCTTCTTTGTCCTTCCTGATTGCTGTTGATTTAAAGTGTGTTTCATGTGATATAAGAATAGGAATGCCTTCCTTTTTTTTGTTTCCTGGTTGCCTAGTAAATATTTCTTCATCCTTTTACTTTGAGCCTGTGGGTGTCATTACATGTGAGATGGGTCTCTTGAAGACAGCAGGCAGTTGGCTCTTGGCTTTTTATCCACGTTGCCACTCTATGCCTTTTATGTGGGGAATTTAGGCCATTTACATTTCTTCTCCTGATATATCCTTTTTATATTTTTATGATTGCCTTTTAAAATATATTGAATGGTTGTAATTCCAGGGAAATGTCTTTCAGAACAGTATTTATTCCCATCTACATGTTTTGGAGAGTGCACTAGGGGACATTGAAGTTTATTTCCTGAAAAGAGTTTAATTTTAAAATGTATTTTATTTAATAACTCAATGATTCAGGGAATGTCTAGGTATTTCAGAGATTGTTTTAGACAGTTTGTTTTCTTGTGATATGTGACCACTTCATCTAAGCTGAATAATGTCTTCATAATGTCCACTTAGAATCTTTTGAATTCTGTAGGATCTGTACTGATGTCATTGTTTCCTTTCTGATATTGGTAATTTTCCTGGGGTAGGATTCTTAGCTCCTCCTGAGGTCCTGCCTCTAAAATTCAGGGAACAATGAGTCAGATTAGTACTCTGATTTCAAAGGGAAAGCTGATCATCTACCATTTTTTGTTTATGTAAATGGACACATTAACATCCCTTGTCTGAACCTTAGTTACCTTGTTTGGAGCATTTTGCTATAAATCTCACTTCTCAGAGTGGTTGTGGGGCTTGATGTGGCTGGGGTATGGGATGGCTTAAACATAATTTATTTCCAGACCAGGTTAAGGCATGAAGGGGTTGGGACTTGTTAGAATCCTGTTGTCGGACTCCACAGTAAGGGTAGACATTTGAGGCACCCAATCAAAAACCTCAGTTGTTCCTAGCACTGAGAAATTTGATAGAATGTTTCTAAAACATTATTCATGGTCTAATGCACAAAAAGTAAAGTGATAGCCCTGGAAGTAGACAGGGAACCATAAGAAAAAAGAGAGAGCAAAGCTCAGTGGTCACCAGTGCCTGGGACCATCAAGGGGTTATTAAGGAGGAAGTTTCCACCTCTGTGGGGAACAGAAGAGGCTCCCTAGGGTCCACACACACAGGGAGTGAGCCAAGACTCTGGGCGAGGCTGGAAGCTCTGGGTCTCCTTCTGTGAGATTTTCTTTTTTTTTTTTGAGATGGAGTCTTGCTCTGCCACCCAGGCTAGAGTGCAACGGCGCGATCTCGGCTCATGGCAACCTCTGCATAAAGTGGTATGTATTTAAGGCATGCATTAGACAAATTACTAAGTATTTACTAGATAAGAAAAAATTATATCTGAATCTTTTCAAATTGCCGTCTTATGCATTATATTCTCTTTTTATAGTGCAATTTCTTAATAGTTAATGCCAGAAGATTTTTTTTTCTTCCTTTCTTTCTTTCTTTTTTTTTTTTTTTTGAGACAGAGTCTCACTCTGTTGCCAGGCTGGAGTGCAGTGGCACGATCTCGGCTCACTGCAACCTCCGTCTCTCGGGTTCATGCCATTCTCCCGCCTCAGCCTCCTGAGAAGCTGGGACTACAGGCACCCTCTACCATGCCCAGCTATTTTTTTTTTTTTTTTTGTATTTTTAGTAGAGACGGGGTTTCACCATGTTCGCCAGGATGATCTCTGTCTCTTGAACTCGTGATCCACCTGCCTTGGCTTCCCAAAGTGCTGGGATTACAGGCATGAGCCACTGCACCTGGTCGCCAAAAGATATTTTTAAAAACCTAAATGCCACTTGAAATGAATAAGACCCTCAATAATTCATGGGATATACATGTGAACTTATGACATATGATGAAATAAGCAGGTTACAAAATTGTAATATATCAAGCAAGGTAGAAAGCCATGGCAGAAAAAGAGACAAGCATTTTCAAGATAAGGAATGAAAGAGGGGAAACAGTACTATTGATTTTACAGATTTTACAAAGATATCTTAGGTGTGTTTTCCTAAATAATAAATGTACCCTCCTTTTGACCTTTATGTAATGAAATAACCATGCACACATTTTCAAATAATACTTCATTTACTTGACTTTATGCTTGAAAATTGAAGTATGGTGCTGTTTGTTATTTTCATTTATGCATTTTACTACCTTGTAATATTCCACTGAGTCTATTTACCACACTATGTTTATTTTTTTCGTAGGTGGACTTTGGTATTTTATAGCTTTGGCTAATAGGAACAGCATTCCTATAACAGTTGTGAGTGTATCATGACACATAAGTAGACATTTATCTCTAGGGTACATAATTAAGTACATAATTAAGAAGGGTCACAGCCATGTGCCTCCTCTTTTTAACTAGATAATTCCAATACACTTCCTTAATTGATTAAAGCAATTTGTACTCTTACTATTAATGTACTAAAATTCTACATGTTCAATATTCTTTCCAAAAAATGATTTTGCTACTTTTTTCTTTTCTTGAGACTGAGTCTTGCTCTATCACCCAGGCTGTAGTGATCTCGGCTCACTGCAACCTCCGCCTCCTGGGTTCATGCGATTCTCGTGCCTTGGCCTCCCAAGTAGCTGGGATTACAGGCAGGCACCACCATGTCTGGCTAATTTTTGTATTTTTAGTAGAGACAGCGTTTCACCATGTTGGCCAGGCTGGTCTCGAACTCCTGACCTCAGGTGATCCTCCTGCCTCGGCCTCCCAAAGTGTTGGGATTACAGGCATGAGCCACCACACCCGGCCTATTTTTTTCTTTTCCCTCCATTGTGCTATGATTTTTGACATTACAATTTTACTGAAACTACACCATAAGAATGAAGCAGAAATTATTATAACCTTTAAATAAACTTTACAACTGGTTCATACTCGTGTGAACGACAATTCTTTTGACTACTTCCCAACTGTGCATTCAATGGCGTCATATGGGCACCCTGAAGTTGGCCATAAAGGACGTATTTATACCACACTAATCAGCAAATACCATAAATCTGGGGCTTTATATGTTCAGAGTTTTCTTAAGAAAATAATTTTTTCAGAGAGCCAGTTTAACAGAATACCATGAGGCTGAGCCTTCGAGCGTTAGTGTGCTCATTCTGAGAGATGATATTTCTGGACAAAGTACACAGGTATCATCCGATGAAGAGTGAAGGGAATTCAGGGTCCAGAGAGGGTGCTAGGGCATCATTTCAGACTCATATTTCCCTTTTTTTTTTTTTTTTTGGAGATGGAGTCTTGCTCTGTTGCCCAGGCTGGAGTGCAGTGGCAAGATCTTGGCTCACTGCAACCTCCGCCTCCCGGGTTCAAGCTATTCTCCCGCCTCAGCTTCCTGAGCAGCTGGGATTACAGGTGCTCACTGCCACACCCAGCTAATTTTTGTATCTTTTAGTAGAGACAGGGTTTCACCATGTTGGCCAGGTTGGTCTCGAACTTCTGACCTCAAGTGATCCGCCCACCTCAGCCTCCCAAAGTGCTGGGATTACAGGTGTGAGCCACTGTGCCTGGCCTCAGACTCATGTTTCAAAGTCCCAAATACAAATCTGCCCACCTATTCCAGTTATTTAATCCAGATCTATGCTCAGAACTGAAAAGATGGAGAATCAATAGTTCACTTTAGAGAATGCGGTAGTTGGAAACAAAGACAAATGTATTACATGACAGTGGACCAGAGCACGTGATCGCAGGGGTGTGGATGCAAACCCACCATGGGGGACGTGCCTTCACATCACAGAGAGCGAAAGGAAGGGAGGGGCAGACACGGAGGATCCACAACAGCAGGACTGAAAGCACTGCCATTTAATGGAAGTTTAATGGAGGAAGCGTTCTCTACAGGCACCCAGACATCTTCCTGAACCTGACCCAAGCCTCCCCTTCTCGACTTTCTCAGTAGACGGTTTCCCGAATGATGGTCCAGACTTTCTTCCAGAACCTCCTAGGACTATCAGATTCATTGCCAAGGCTCTGGCACTCTGAAGGGTGCATTGTTCTCTCATGTATTTACCTCCTTGCTGCATCTTGGGGACTTCTCTAGCTGTGCCAGTCCTAAAGCAGCAGAATCCCGAGGACCACCAGGACCAAGCCAGCCACAGCCACGCGGATGAGATTCTCCACTGTGTAATCCTGGGGGTGTGAGGCTGGGGATGGTGGACCAAGAGGTCTCAGAGGTCAGGGCAGATCAACATCACCCGGGACCCCTGGATGTCCACCCAGGGGCACCCACCTCCCCTTCACAGGACCTGACCCTCTGTGCCAGCCCCATAACCGAGAGCATCTCCTTACACACCAGTCTTGGAGTCTGTCTTGTTTTGCGATGGGCTGAGGGTCTCAGCTGCTCCTGAGAATCAACCAAAAAAGGGGGAGGTGTGTGAGGAGTTGAAGAGACTTAAGCCAACATGTCCCTCAGTTGCTGCATTCCTTTGTGTCTACACTTCTCCTAACTGCTCTGTAGTTGTGTGATAGAACCTTTCCCTGCCGTGGCAGAGGTACATTCGCATACATACATACATATATGCATAGGTGTAAATATGTGTGTATACATAATATGTGTTATGCATATGTGTATACATAATATGTATTATGCATATGTGTATAGATAATATGTATTATGCATATGTGTATGCATAATATGTATTATAAGATATAGTGTGAGTATATATAAATATATAATATATAAGATATATAATAGTGTGTGTATACATATAAATATATAATAAGATATGTAATAGTGTGTGCATATATAAATATATAATATATAATAAGATATATAATAGTGTGTATATATAAATATATAATACATAATATATTATAAGATATATAATAGTATGTATATATAAATATATAATACATAATATATAAGATATATAATAGTGTGTGTATATATAAATATATAATACATTATATATTATAAGATATATAATAGTATATATAAATATATAGTACATAATATATAATAAGATATATAATAGTGTGTGTATACATATAAATATATAATAAGATATGTAATAGTGTGTGCATATATAAATATATAATATATAATAAGATATATAATAGTGTATATATATAAATATATAATACATAATATATTATAAGATATATAATAGTATGTATATATAAATATATAATACATAATATATAAGATATATAATAGTGTGTGTATATATAAATATATAATACATTATATATTATAAGATATATAATAGTATATATAAATATATAGTACATAATATATAATAAGATATATAATAGTGTGTGTATACATATAAATATATAATAAGATATGTAATAGTGTGTGCATATATAAATATATAATATATAATAAGATATATAATAGTGTATATATATAAATATATAATACATAATATATTATAAGATATATAATAGTATGTATATATAAATATATAATACATAATATATAAGATATATAATAGTGTGTGTATATATAAATATATAATACATTATATATTATAAGATATATAATAGTATATATAAATATATAATACATAATATATAATAAGATATATAATAGTGTGTGTATATATAAATATATAATACATAATATATATTATAAGATATAATAATGTGTGGGTAATATAAATATATAATACATAATATATAAGATATATAATAGTGCATATATAAATATATAATACATAATATATATTATAAGATATAATAATGTGTGGGTATATATAAATATATAATACATAATATATATTATAAGATATAATAATGTGTGGGTATATATAAATATATAATACATAATATATAAGATATATAATAGTGTATATATAAATATATAATACATAATATATATTATAAGATATATAATAGTGTGTGAGTATATATAAACACATACATATATATTTGAAGTGAGAAGAGTATTATATAATTTAGAAACAAACAAGTTTGTCCTCCATTTTCTTGTGGTTAATGTAATTATTATCAATAAATCAGAAGAGATCATTTCGGAAAGGATTGAAAGGGAGTGTGTCTGTGGTAAGTTAATAGGAACTAAAATTAGCATACCCAAACCAATAGCTTTCTCATCCATACGTAACTAATTTTAGAAAATAGAAAGGAATCAAAGACTTTCAAATTATTCAAGTAGTAAAACAATGCTTAAAATTCACAATGTCCACAATTTTTATGAATACAACTTCAAGCATCTGCTAACTGTATAAAGTTTAATTTTAAATGTATTGGATACAAAGACATTATTAATGAGAAGTTATTCTCCATCATGAATGCACATATTTAATTTAATCCCAAAGAAAATCAGAGCACAGTTATTTTACATCATAACGCTACCTAACAAATTAAATGTGTAAATTATAAATGCCAGCATTGCTTTGAAATCTTCAGAAACAGAAAGAGAAACTAGATATGTGGACATAAAAAATAAAGGACAGAAAGGAATTGCACACGAGGTTTGCTGTTGAATAATTTGCCTGCATTGCTGCAGTGAGCAGGTGCATGATCTCCCCTTCGTCTCAGGTATGCACTGAGTATTTTGGGGCCGCCAGGGGAGCCCAGGTGGGGAGTGGGTGGGGCCTCCATCTTCTACCCTCAGCCTAAGCATGATTCCTCCAAGGTTTCTCCATATCTCATTTCAGCCCTCCCTGGCCTTTAGCCCCATCTGAGGTCTCTGGGGTGGGAGCCCAGGATTAGGAGGTCCCTGACTATTTCCACCCTCTCATGGGCTGGGCCCTCCCCTGCCGACCCTCCCCCTTTACTCCCCTCTTTCCTTAGCGTCCTGAGCTCTCCTGGGGGCAGGGCCTGAGCTGAGGTTTGAGCTCAGAGAGGACAGGGTCAGCGGCCTCACCTGAGACCACGAGCTCCAGGGGGTCACTGGGGTGAGACAGCAGGTAGGGGAAGAATCTGCGTGAGCTGTAGCACCTGTAGGTCCCCGCGTGGGCTGAGGTCACAGGACTCATGGGGAATTCAGCCTGGTGCTGCTGAGCTTGGTGCTCTGATCTCAGACGCAGTGGGTGATGGGCTGCCCCCTCCTTGGTCAGAAGGAAAGTGTCCAACTGCTCCCGTGACTGACACAGCAGGGTCACGTTCTCTCCTGAGGCCACCGTGGGGCCCGGCTGCACCGAGAGGGAGGGTCTGCCACGGATCTGTCCTGGAGAGAAGAAGGATGGGTGAGGGGCTGCCCCACCTCGTTCTGAGCTGACACCTCCCCAGGCCTCTCCCTGGGACCCTCAGTGTCTCTGTCTCTGTTTTCTCTGAGTCTCCCCCTCCCCGCCCATCCCCTGTCTCTGTCTGTCTCTCCGTCCCTTAGGACCCCCACCCCTCATCCCGGCCATCACCACCTGGGCTCCCCCAGCAGGGCCTGTGCGGAGCCTGGGTCCCTGACTGAACCTGCTGGGCTCCTCACCTGCGATCAGGATGCTCAGGGGGTCACTGGGGGCCGACCACTCGGAGGAGAGGTTGTGTGCACCGTAGCATCTGTACTGGCCCCCGTGGGAGACCCTCACAGGGCCCAGGGTGAAGTTGGCCTGGGAGAGCCCAGCCTGGGGCTGCCGGCCAGAGCCCTGGACGAGGTCATGTCCCCCCTCCTTGTACAGAGTGAATTTGTCATAGCCGACATCAGAGCCACACTGGAGGGTCAGATTCTCCCCAGGGGCCACGACAGGGCCCTGCAGGGTCAGGAGGGAGGGCTTCCTAGACACGCCTGGAGGGAAAGAAGAGTCGGGACTAGGAGGGCTGGTTCCTCCCACACCCCTTCCTTCTCCCCTCCTGGCCCTGCAGGTCTCACTGTCTCTCACACTCAGTGTCTCTGGGCTCAGGAGTCCCAAACTTCCCTTGTTCCACCCTCCTACATGGGGCTCCGTGAGAGTAAGTTCTCAAAAATAAATAGGGCAAGGAGGAAGACATCCATACCTAAGACCAGGATCTCCATGGTATCACTGGGTTCCGACCACACCCAGGGGAAGTTCGTGTAATGCCCATAGCATCTGAACATCCACCGGTGACTGGCAGCCACACGGCCCACAGGGAACAGGGCCAGGGACAAGGGACAGCCCCTTGGAGAGTTCCTGTGAGTCCAGCATCCAGGAGAGCTTGTTTTCTCCTTCCTCAATCAAAATGAACCTGTGAAATCCCACCCTTGAGCTACACTGGATGGTCACGTTCTCTCCTGAGGTCACCACAGGGCTCGGCAGGGCTGAGAGAGTGGGTTTTCTGTGGGCTCCTAGGAGAGAAGGAGACACTGTCTTAAATGGGGCTCACGCGTCCCACATCATCCCCCAGGGCTGAGTTATTAGAACGGAGATGCCCTTGAGAGCTGACCCCCTTCCTGCAGGCAGAGCCTGGGGCTGGGACCCCTGAGTGTCCTCTTACCTGTCACCACCAGCTCCAGGGGCTCGCTGCGCTCTGACCAGCCTGCAGGGCTGAGATAGTGACAGTGGTATCTCCCTGCATGGTGCTCTCTCATGGATGGGATGAAGAAGTTGGTCTTGTTCCTGGGCTCTGGTGGGCTCTGTTGGTACCAGGTCATGGGGTTTCCTTCCTTGGTGAGATAGTAACCCTGGGTATCCAGGGTCCCCTGGCACCAGAGGGTCATGGGGCTCTCCCAGGTAATCACAGAGCCTGGCTCAGCCCAGAGGCTGGGTTTGGGGAGGGTCCCTGGAAGAAACCACAGGCTGGGGTCCACAGACCTCCCCCGCTCCTCATTCCCAGCTCAGGTCACAGACCCTCTTGATTTTCTCACCCTCAGTTCAGAAGCCCCTGAGATGAGAGTCCAGGTGCTGAGTGTGAGGTCAGGCATGGGAGGTTAGCAGAGACTCACCTGCAAGTGCTTGGGCTTTCTGGCCCAGACTCAGCCATGGAGAAGAGTTTCCTGTGGGGGATTTGGAACACAGAGGTGTGGCTGCTTCCCTTCCTGTTGGAGCACCAGTAGCCACTGGAGCCCTGAGGCTCTCTGGTGAACAAGGCTGCTGTGGGACCCTCCCCACCTCAGCCCAGTGCCCCTCCTGTCCCTCGTCTCTCCACCACTGACTGAGGCACAGAAGAACAGTGAGGATGGACACCATGATGCCTGCTCTGCGTGCTCCAGCTGTGGGACAGGTGACCACATGGCCCTCCATGACAGACAGATGCACGGATGTGGTTAAGTCAGAGCCTGCTGCCGCCTGCCTGGGTCCCCACAGCTGTGAACCCACAGGAAGTGGACAGCCCCTTGCTGGGCCTGTCTCTTATTCCCCCCCCAGTGCAGGGGCTCAGGAGGACCCAGGCCCTCTGCACACATCTCAGCCCAGACCTGAGGTGTCCCCTGATTGCCAGGGATCCTTTGTCTGAAAACCTGCCCGTGGAGGGTGGACCCAACATCATATCTATGTCAGCTCCCAACTTAGCTGGGTCTAAACTGAAAACACAGCCCTTATTTTCTCAGAGCCTCCACTCATGACATCGGCTTTCTTTTTCCCCACTGATGCAAAGACAAATATTTCCCAGCAGAAAGTCATCCTGATCTGGAGAGACCCATTTCCTGCGTTCAGTAAATAAAGTCAGTTTCATTAGGGGAGGCTCTGGGAAAATAAGGGGATGCAGACTAGCAGAAGATGAACATTTAGCTACTTGTTTCTCAATTAATTGATTTATTACCAAAGAGAGAGAAGTGGAAACATGAGAATAGGGACCATGACTAGAATGTGGTTGAGGGAATGGTTTCTATCTTATTCCCTGGCAGAGAACTAAGGGATAAGAATGAGAAAGCTGGCTGGGTGCAGTGGCTTACACCTGTAATCCCAGCACTTTGGGAGGCCGAGGCAGGAAGATCACAAGGTCAGGAGTTCAAGACCAGCCTGACCAACATGGTGAAACCCCTGTCTCTACTAAAAATACAAAAACTAGCTGGGTGTGCTGGCATGCGCCTGTAATCCCAGCTACTAGGGAGGCTGAGGTGGGAGAATCGCTTGAACCTGGGAGGTGGAGCTTGCAGTGAGCCGAGATCGCGCCACTGCACTCCAGCCTGGGCAACAAAGCCGGACTGTCTCAAAAAAAAAAAAAAAAAAAAAAAAAAAGAAAGAGAGAAAACCCAGCAGTGAGAGGTAGTTGTGAGAACACACTAAAGAGGAAAGATAATCCAGGGCTGGGAGTGGTGGCTCATGCCTGTAATTCCAGCACTTTGGGAGGCTGAGGCTGGCAGATCACAAGGTCAGGAGTTCGAGACCAGCCTGACCAACATGGTGAAACCCTGTGTCTACTAAAAATGCAAAAATTAGCTGGGTGTGGTGGTGGGTGCCTGTAATCCCAGCTACTCAGGAGGCTGAGGTGGGAGAATCGCTTGAACCCAGGAGACGGAGGTTGCAGTGAGCTGAGATTGCACCACTGCACTCCAGCATAGGCAACAAAGCCAGACTCTGCCAAAAACAAAAACAAAAACAAAAACAAAAACAAAAAACAAGAAAGCTCAGTGAGAGGTGGTTGTGAGAACACACTAAAGAGGAAAGATCATTCAGGGCTGGGAGTGGTGACTCACGCCTGTAATCCCAGCACTTTGGGGGGCCACAGGCGGGTGGATTACCTGAGGGCAGGAGTTCAAGACCAGTCTGGCCAACATGGTGAAACCTCGTCTCTACTAAAAATACAAAAACTAGCTGGGTGTGATGGCGGGTGCCTGTAATCCCAGCTACTTGAGAGGCTGAGTCAGGAGAATCTCTTGAACCCAGGAGGCAGAGGTTGCAGTGAGCTGGGATCGTGCCACTGTACTCTAGCCTGGGTAACAGAGCAAGGCTCTGTCTCAAAAAAATAAAAATTAGAAAGAAAAAAGGAGAAGGAGAAGAGGAAGGAGACAGAAAGGAGAGAAACATCCCTGAGGTGGAACATTACATGCAACATGGAGTAGGCAGGGAATCCGATAGAGCACTGAAACTCTCGCTGGGTACGGTGGCTAACATCTGTACTCCCAGCACTTTGGGTGGCCGAGGTGGATGGATCACCTGAGGTCAGGAGTTTAAGACCAGCCTGACCAACATGGTGAAACCCCATCTCTACTAAAAATACAAAAGGCTGGGTGTGGTGGCTCACGCCTGTAATCCCAACACTTTGGCAGTCTGATACAGGCGGATCACATGAGATCAGGAGTTTGAGACCAGCCTGGCCAAGATGGCAAAACCTCATCTCTACTAAAAATACAAACATTACCTGGCTGTGGTGGCAGTCGCCTGTAATCCCAGCTATGCAGGAGGCTGAGGCAGGAGAATCGCTTGAACCTGAGAGGTGGAGGTTGCAGTGAGTCAAGATCGTGCCATTGCACTCCAGCCTGGCCAATAGGAGCAAAACTCCATGTGAAAATAAAATAAAATAAAATAAAATATAATAAAATAAAATAATAAATCAAAAAAGGACTGGACATCTCCTGTGGGTTGTCAGTGAATGGAACTAAGCAAGCCACCGCTCTTTCCCTTTTGTCCCGCAAGTGTCTTTCTTGGCCTCCAGGAAGTGAGTTCCATCATGTCAGACCCTATGTTTGTTCCTGCTGGGTTCACTGAGGCTCCTCCCTTTCCACCTGTGGCTCCCCATGGGTTCCCAGTCCCCAGCCAGTGTTGTGAATCGAGCCAGGAAGACCAGCCCTATCACACCCCTCCTGATGGAATTCCCACAGTGTCATCCTGGAGAACAGGGGCTGGGGGCTGGGGTAGGATCAGAGACCTTTTCATGTGGGCCAGGCCCCTCCCTCCACAGGAGCTCTGACACGAAGCTCATCACCATTCATTTCACCCTGACGATATTCTTCCTGCCCAGACACCCCCGTTCTCCCTATGTCATCATGGGCACCTCAGTGAAATCCATGGTTGAGGGTCTCTGTCACTTACTCTGCCCTCTTCTTGGAAAATTTCCTTGGATCCTTCCAGAGCCCTTCCTGAGTGTGCTGCAGGGTCTCTGCCACATGACACACTCTCAGGAACCCTCATCCTCCCCTTAATCTACTGCGCCCACATAGCCAGGTGCAGGCTCCGTTTCTTCATCTTCCCTTCCCCACAGGCCCCGATGGAGAGTGGATTAGACTCGCTCCTGAGTAGGGACTCAGGTCACTCTGACCCCTTCCTCCCTGTGGACGAGGCCTCTGTCCCAGAGCTTTGGAGGCTGAAGGGCCTTGTGGATTCCCGCACTGGCCACAGTCTCCGATGCAGATGGGGAACTGGGGACCTGGGAGGGGTTGCCTAGCCCAAGGCCACATAGCTGGGCGGTGGCACAGCCTTCACTCACACAGGGACATTCCATCTTCCCAGGGACTTCACACTGGAGGCTAAGAGCCCCACTTTGCACACCACATTCAGGGGTAGATTCTGTGTGTGACTAACAAGTTCTCTTAGGGTTCCGAGGTAACAGGACAGCAAATGGATGAGTGAGAGTTTCCCTCACCCCACTGAAGTAGGACCATTCTCTGTGGAGGGTTGGTCCCCTGACTTCCTCTACTCTGTCATCTCCCTAGTGACTGATAGGGGTCCTGGGGTCTCTTCCCTGGAATCCCATGAGGGACAATTCCTTTCCTGAAGGGAAGGTATAGAGAGGACTAGCAGGTGCCTGGTGATGGAAAGTCCCCATAATCAAGAGACATTGCCTCCCCCCCCCGGCATGATAAATATCTGGGTTTCCAAATGGGAAATCTGTCTGTGATGAGAGCTCAGGAGGGGCTTCTGGAAGATGGAAAAGGGCTAGAGGCTGAGGCCACTGCTTATCTCCCCACACTGTATCTGGCTTCACCTCCTGTGTTTGTCCTGACCTCTTCCTTCACTCACCTGGATAAGTAGGACCCCAAAGTGGGCCTCCAGACAGGAAGCAGTGGAGAGTGTGGAGCTGCCCTGTCTACCACCCTACACCCTGACACCACTGTCATACTCAACCTCTCTTTTCCTCTTTGTGTTTCTCATTGCTTCATTTTGTCTGGAATCCCTAAGATTCCCATGTCTCCAGCAGGCTGTCCCTCAGACGTGGCTATATGATTTAGTGTTTCACAGGGCATGCAGCAGGCATGGGCTACCCCCAGTAACAGTGGTCATCTAGGGCTGATCACTCACAGGCAGAGCCATCGACAGAGAGCTGCAGCATCTAGAGGTCCCATCACCAGCCCCAAGACCCAGAGAGAAGTTGGCCTGAATGCCCCACTCTGTCTCTGCACCCCAGTGAGCCAGTGTCCAGGGGCCTTACCTTCCTCGTTAGAAGGCACAGGTCAAATGAGCTTCCAGAGCTGCAGAGCAAAGTCACATTCTCTCCATCATTACTTACTGCAGGGCACAGTTGAGCTGAGAAGGAAGGTCTCTTGTAGACGCCTGGGGAAAAAAATAGTCCTTGACTGTCGAGCACAAGCCTTACCCAGCCTATCCTCAGGGCATGAAAAAGGCATTCTCTCCACCTGTTCTGGGGAGCACACTCTGTTACCCACTCGTGCCTCTCTCCATCTCAGTTCTAGCTCTACAAGCTGGCTCATCATGTGTGTGTTTTCCTGTCTGTCTTTGCTCAGCTTTTCCTTGAATCTCTTGCTTTTTGCCGGTGCGTGTGTGGCTTTCTGCCCTTAGAACCATATGAGATTTAGGGTTCTCCTGGCACATAGAACTGTTTACTTTGAGGACCCTCAGAAAACATAGCCCTGGGCTAAGGCTCCCTGTCCTGGAACTAGAAGGTTATGGGTGTCACCATTTCCCAACAGCATGTCTGAAAGTGCCAGAATCTTCAAAGAGTCTGCAACATGTTTGTAGGATCTTTATAGGGTCTGATATTGCAGGGACCAACCAAAGTGCCCTCACACCCCAAGACGCTGGAAGTGACCCCTTGCTGAAAGTGGTTGGAAGTTTCACATAGAAGTTTGAGTTAAGCCACATTGCTGAGCAATGCCTCAGCATCCCAGTCTTCATCCAGACCTTCCAGGAGCCTGGCTGGAGGGGGTGTCTCTGGTGTGTCACTGAGCCTTATAGCAGAGGAAGGGGGCTATGGTGGAAACTACCTCCAAGATACCACTCAGTCCTAAGCTGGGGAACAAGCTGAGCTTGGATTCTGGTAGTGAATGAACCGGGAAACATTTATTTGAAGGGTTCTAAGAGTAGCATCGTGTGGGTGCGTTAATTGTATGTGAAGGGGAAGATCCTGAGAAAACAAGAGCTGCTCCACTCTGTGCCTGGGTTTACCAGAGGGACCGATGAGGTCCTCACAAGACCCAGGAATCCCACCGGGGGAAGGAGGCTTAGGGAGATGTGTTTAAGACTGTTAAGTGAGTCACAGACAGAAGCAGATCAAGCCATCCCACCACCTAGGTTTGTGGTTTTGTTTCTCCTAAACTTCCTTTCTGTAAGTAGCAGAACCTTCTCATCACCATCCTTCAAAACCTCTGCATTGTTTGAGCTCCTTGTATTTTCTGGAGATTAATCTCTTGCTTGCAAATATTCTTTCCCATTCTGTAGGTGGTCTCTTCACTCTGCTGTTTGTTTCCTTGATTGTGCAGAAGGTTTGCAGTTTGCTATGATCTCATTTGCCTATTTTTGCTTTTGCTGCCTGAGCTTTTGAGGGTTTTTTTTTTTTGTTTTTTTTTTTGAGACGGAGTCTCGCTCTGTCACCCAGGCTGGAGTTCAGTGGCATGATCTCAGCTCATTGCAACCTCCGCCTCCCGGGTTCAAGTGATTCTCCTGCCTCAGCCTCCCTAGTAGCTAGGACTACAGGCGAGTGCCACCACACCCGGCTAATTTTTGTATTTTTAGTAGAGGCAGGGTTTCACCACGTTTGGCCAGGCTGGTCTCAAACTCCTGACTTCAAGTGATCCACCCACCTTGGCCTCCCAAAGTGCTGGGATTACAGGCGTGAGCCACTGCGCCCGGCGTTGTATTGGATTTTTAATTCAGCCCTATTTTCTCCGACATTTGATATTGGCATTTTTGTCTTTTTTGGATATGCTAGGATCATGGTGTCATAATTTAATTTTAATTTTTATTTTTATTTTAAGTTCCGGGGTACATGTGCAGAATGTGTGGGCTTATTGCATAGGTCAATGTGCGCCATGGTGGTTTCCTGCACCTGTCAACCCATCACCTAGGTATTAAGCCCAGCATACATTAGCTATTTTTCCTAATGCTCTCCCTACCCCTACCCCACCCCCCCCCCGACAGGCCCCAGTGTGTGTTGTTCCCCTCCCTGTGTTCACGCATTCTCATTGTTCAGCACCCACTTGTAAGTGAGAACATGCAGCGTTTGATTTCCTGTTCCTGTGTTAGTTTCCTGAGGATAATGGTTTCCAGCTCCATCCATGTCCCTGCAAAGGACATGATCTTGTTTCTTTTTATGGCTTCATAGTATTCCGTGGTGTATATGTCTCACATTTTCTTTATCCAGTCTATCATTGATGGGCATTTGGGTTGATTCTATGTCTTTGCTATTGTGAATAGTGCTGCGATGAACACATGTGTGCATGTATCTTTGCAATAGAATGATTTATATTCCTTTGGGTATACGCGCAGTAATGGGACTGCTTTTACCTGTGCCAAAATACTGAAGTAGAAATGATTATTCACTCTAAAATGGAAGGTAATAAGATGTATACGTGAGCTATCAGATGCCTGGTGCTTATGAGTGAAGACAAGTCTGTCCAACGCTTCCCAACCCTGCATTCAGGGATGTCTCGTTGGCATCTTGATTATGGCCATGAAAAAAGAATTTACGTCAAGGAAATTGGTAAATGCCACTAATCATAGCATTTCAAAAAATGTCTTTTTCAGAATTAGCATACCATTGGGTCGTGACTTCAAATGCCAGTGTGTTGATTCCAGGTGGTGATATTTCAGGAGAAACTACACAGATAGCATCTGATAAGGAGGGAAGAGCTCATAGGGTCCACACAGGAGGTGAGGGCATCACGGTGCATTTATCTTTTCCTGGTCGGACTCTGATCTTCTCCCGTTGAATTAGTTCCTAAACCAGGTGCGGAACTCTGAACTGAAGACATGAAGACCCAGTAAAGTACACCAGGAAGTGTGGCAATGAGAAATGAAGAGGACTGTGTGACACGCCATGGACCAGAGCATGCAGGTGTGCAGAGGTGTGGACCCAACGCTGCCATGTGGGATGGAGCCTCATGTCTAAGTGTGGGAAAAGAGGCAGATCCAACCAAGGAAAGTCAACATTAATGGAGAGGAAAGGTATCACATTTTAATGGTTCTCCATGGATCACCCCAGAAAATGTCCCTGCACTCGGACATTGATTCCTTCCTCTGGAAATGACCAGCAGACAGTCCAGATAGCATCGGCCCTAGATTTTCTTCCAGAACCTCCTGGGATCATCAGATCTGTTCCTGAGGCTTCACGACTCTATAAAGTACATTATCCTCTCTGCTGTTCACCTCCCGGCTGCATCTTGGGAAGCTTCTCTGGCTGTGCCAAGCCTCAAATGACAGAATCCCGAGGACCACCAGGATCAAGCCAGCCACGCCCATGTGGATGAGATTCTCCACTGCGTAATCCTGAAGGTGTGAGGCTGGGGATGGTGGACAAAGAGGTCACAGAGGTCAGGGTGGATCAGATTGTCCACCCAGGGCACCCACCTCCCCTTCACAGGACCCAACCCTCAGTGCCAGCCCCATCACTGAGAGTATCTCCTCACATACCAGTCTCAGAGTCAGACTTGTTTTGTGATGGGCTGAGGGTATCAGCTGCTCCAGAGAATCAAAACAGAGAAAAAGAGACCTGAGCCCAGCCTCTCACCTGGGCTCTGCAATTTTTTTTTTATTACTTAATGTCTCATGATGTGACTTTTACAGAATTTCTAAAAAAAAAAAAAAAAAACCTCTTCCTCCGCTAGCAGGATTCCCTCTAGTCTCCTCATTGAACGATTTCAGTTTTCCTGTGTTCTATGGATTTAAACATTGCTCCTGAGTCATCTGGGAGAGAGTTTTCCTGCATCCTGAGAGCTCAGGATCTGCAAGGAAAGTGGTCCCCAGTACAGAGGTCACTAAGGCCTGTGTGCTCTCTGTGCAGCCTGGGACACAGGAGAACATGAGCCAACTCCCCCGGAGATGAGAGTTTCACGGATCCACCAGCTGAGGACCCAGGCTCCGTGGATGAGGGTTAGTCATCAGGGGAGCCTCAATGTCAGAAGCACAAAGGGGTGAAATTCTGGGGCTGCCTCCCCTTCATGCCCTCAGCCACTTCACCTGGAGTTTCATTGTCCATTTAATCTCTAGGTAGCTAATTATTCGTATAGGCAGCAACAGGTAGAATGTGATACACACACAGAAAAACACAAACACAAATATATATCTGTTTTATATATATAGTGGGCCTTAAAAACTATCTCTGCCTTCTTGAAGTGTGGGTTCACCTGGAGACAAACAGCAAACATATAGAAACACAGCAGTGGAAATTTACTAGTCGTAGCAATGGTTTTAGATATATTGGTAGAGACCTATATTTATGTGTGAATATATATTATTTGTATAGATATACGGATAACTAGGTTTCAATGTCACGTAAGATGTTGGTGTGACCACACACGCGCACACACACACACACACGTATATGCAGAGAGTGGAAGAGAGAGAGAAGGAATTCAGCCGCATGGTGTAGGTTGGTTAATTACTTGACATAAATGAGAAGCAGGCAGGACTGGGCTGAGCTGTGTCGTCAGTGAAGGTCACACTTGGAGGTGACATTGAAGCTGATTCCTCAATAGGAAAAAGGGCCAGGAAGGAGGCGTGTGGAGACCCAGACAGGGAGCAACAGAGGCTCCAGAAAGAGCAGGTCCCAGAAAGGTCTCAGCCTGTTCTTCAGAAAGGAATGGCCGCTTGTCTACAGGGTGGAGGAGGAGGCAGAGGAGGAGGGGAGATGAGCTTCGGGGCCTTGGTGGATTGAGAATAGGCCAGGATGAACCGGCCAGGAAAGAGCGGCCCCAATATCTCTCTCTCTGTCTCTCTGTCTCTGTCTCTGCCTCTCTCTCCCTCCCTCTGAGGTCTGGAAAGTGCTGTAGGGTTTCAAGGAGTGGTACCAGTCATTTGACTTTTTCTGAAAAGATAAGCCCTACCCCCTCCATAGCAAATGTCCAGAACGAAGGAAGTCCACATTTCTACCTGAAGTTTACAAAACCTCAGGGAGCACGTGAGATCAGGGCTATTACGAAACCGGGTGAGAATAAAAATAGGTGATGCTGCAAATCTACTTTCACCAGCTTGGACAAAAAGGCCAATATGAGATTTTAAAAACCCAAATAAAAAATGTCAACGGCGCAGAAGAGGAGCGGTGCACATTCCCTGAGCTGCTGCGGGAGCACGTGCAAGTCCCTGTGAGGCTCAGGTGTGCGCTGAGTGCTGGGGAGGCTGCAGGGGAAAGCAGGAAGTGGGGCGGGGTGGGGGGGGGTCGGGGGTGGATGCAGGTGGCACCGGCAGCCTGGATGCTTCTCTCTCCAGGAGGGCGTCTGTTGGGGACTGGGACACAGAGGCTCTGATTCTGAGGTGGAGACACCAGGATGGGAGCAGGTGGGGCCTCCGTCTTCCACCCTCAGTCTAATCTCAACTCCTTTGAGGTTCACCCCCCGTCTCCTCCCAGCCCTCCCTGCACTTTACTCTACTGAGACTTCAGGGGTGGGAGCCAGGGGTGGGAGGTCCCTGTCTATTTCCATCTTCCCATGGGCTGGACCCTCCCCTGCGGACCCTCTCCCTTCACTCCCCTCTTTCCTTAGTGTCCAGAGCTCTGCTGGGGGCAGGGCCTGAGCTGAGCCTTTGAGCTCAGAGAGGACAGGGTCAGCGCCCTCACCTGAGACCACGAGCTCCACGGGGCCACTGGGGTGAGACAGCAGGTAGGGGTCGGAGCTGAGTGAGCCGTAGCACCTGTAGGTCCCCGTGTGGGCTGAGGTCACAGGACTCATGGGGAATTC